>NC_000004.12:81648653-81800168 GCF_000001405.40 Homo sapiens
TGGTGCCTCTGCTTTACTCTTTTGAACACACTGGTTTCCATTCACAGATGTGGATGCTGTCCAAACAAGCTGGGGGTTTTACTAAAGTGTAGGAGGCAGGAGTGGAATTTGCGTGTGTGTGTGTGTGTGTGTGTGTGTATGTATGTATGTATGTATGTGTGTGCATGAACAGCATTTCTGGAGGACGGGCTGCAAAGAACTTAAGGGTCACTACAAAACTGCTCAGGCACCTAGAAGTTAGAATTCCCAGTACCTTCATCTCTAAAGTCATGTTTTCTTCAGATCATAAAACCTGATCTTTTGAACGAAAAGCCAAGAAATGGCTCTTCTTTATCTAGAGTCAATTGCATCCTCTCTCTCTTTCTTTTCTTCTTTGCTTGCCTCCTTCATACTCCCACAGCAACCACCTACCAGACAGGAAGATAAAATAGAAACCAAGAGGAGCAGCCAACTGTAAAGCAGTCAACTGTGGCTGCCAAACCACAGGCAGGCGTAGGGTGAGAAGGGGGGATGTGGAAGAGAAGAAAAAGAGCTATTTATTCTCTGGGTCTCTGACTGGTAATTTCACTGTCTACATAAACAGTAGCTGAGAGCATTAAAAACAAATACAATTATACTACCAACATGGTTCATATTCTTGGGGTCTCCTCTCCATGGGTGGGTCCTGAAAGTCTTTTGGGGACCTCCAATACTCCCCAGCCGACCCCAGAACCCCTAGCCAGTAGATATACCAGTACCACTCATTGCACTCCAGGTTAGCAACCACCATCTCATCTACCCAAATAGTTTCTTCAGCTATGCAACAATGAAGGGTCATTGATTTCCTTTTAAAAATTTCAAAAGCATGAATGTTGCAGAAAACTACAAAGAACAATATAACAACAAACAGTTGTAGCTCTATGGTCCAGATATAACAACTTTTAACATTTGACTGTATTTCTTCCAGGTTTTGGTATTTTTTTTAATGGAATTAAATGACAGACATAGTCAAACATATTTTTCAGCCCATCCCTTTTCCATTATCCTTCTCTGACAACATATATAAATTTTGTATGGTTCTTTCTCAGTTTTAAAAATTATACATATATAACATGCATCAGAAAACAATATATATTATTTTTGTTCTTTTTTGTTTATATAAATGATTCATACTGAGTGTTCTTTCTCCTTATTTTCACTCAACATAATGTTCTTAAAATATAACCAGTTGATGTAGGTCATTACTTTCAACTGTTCATTTTATTTAAATATTCCTCTAAAAATGGACATTTAGATTGTTTCCAATTCTTTACTCTTACAAACAATGCTACAATACCGATTGTATTATATGACTCTGTGCACTTACACCAGAGTTTCTGTTGGGTATATATACAGAAGTAGAATTATGGAGACTTTAGTATTAAATCTTGAATTTTACTAGATGATGTCAGTATATCTTGAAAGTGGGTCTATCAAATTACATTCCCAAGAGTAACGCAGGAGAGTACCATTGCACCCGCATCCTGACAACTCTCAATATTGTCAGATGTCTTAATTTTTGCCAGTCTGACATATTACAATAAAAGGTGTCCTGTGTTGTTTTAATTTTCATCTTCTTGTAAATTATTGAGTTTGTTCCGGTTCAGATTGCCTTCTTTATGACTTGCCTGTTCACATCCTTTGCACATTCTTCTAGGTGGTTATTTGTCTTTGCTTACTGATTTGTAGAAATTCTTTTAAAATATATTGTGAACAATAGTACTTTATCTATTATTTACAAATATTACAAATTTCTTCTCCCTGTCAATGGCTTCTGTTTTAACATTGTTTATGAGTAACTAGTTACTAATTAAATACAGAAGCCAAAAGAAGTAAGCACAGACTCTGGACTTGGCACTATTACATGAACCCTTCAATAAGCTAAAAGATGAAAAAATTAAGACTCAAAAACAAAGTTGTAACTAGAGGAACCAACGTTTAAAGTTGCATCTGGAAACCACAAATCTAGTGTTCTCCACAAACCAACACACTTTCTCATGTGTTCCCTCTTGCAGAAACATTGTAAAGCCTTATCACTCACTGTTAAAATGTGCAAAGATAGAATTTATGGCATCAGAAATATTTAGGAAAGCTTGCTAAAAAGCCAGAGATTTTTATTTTTTAAAACTGGGATTAGTCATAGAAATATGCATTGTAAACAAGCTTCCCAGGTGATAATGATACAGCCTGCCAGTGAGCCAGACTTTGAAGACACTCTTGACAGACAGTTGAGAAACCAGAGCTCTTACTGAAGCTGGTGGGGGCCCATAGAAAGTCTGGGTGTTCCAGCTGCCAGGGCAAATATTTGATGTGCCTCCCTCCTGCTGATCTAGAGACTCCATGAGGTTAGGGATATGCCTCTTCTGTTTACTCCCAGCATCTAGCACAGTGCCCAACTCGGTAAATACTTGTTGAATGAGGAAATGCTCTACTTAACACATTCTGTAAGCCACTGCCCCTGGCTAGGAAGAGTCTTAGGAAATCCCGCACCTAGCCTCAAATTCTCAACTTATCTCTCCTGTTAAAAGGGAGATAGGCACCAATGATTCATTCCACATGCCAAGTGCTCTTGGCCTCAGTTATTGACCCTCTGGACTGACAATTGTCATCCAAAAGTACATATCATGAAAACAAATGATCCTAATTATGGTTGTATCTATAAAATGACAGTCAATTCAGTAGAGAAGCAAATTTATCTAACTCTTTACTATGTGAAAGCAAATACCCACAGTTTCTTTGTAAGCTAATGCTCAAAAGGTACTTATTAGTTCCCCTTTCCATACCTCTCTTTTCACCTTATCCTGGTTCCATAAAGTAGAACAAGTTCCTAAGGGCCCCATAACTAATGAGTTCTCTTTGAGGAAAGCATGATTCATTGAGCCTAAGCTTTTAGCCCTGACAATTACCTGCATCCAGTTTAAACCACCCCTGTCTTTAATCACAACTGTCAGCATTTTCCTTCCTCTATGCTTTAGTCATACACTGTTGAGAAGATCAGTGGGTCTTCTCTCCAAGGCAGGCCAGCAATGATGCCTTTAAGCTAGATAAGAACGTACCATGGCAGATCTGGCTGTGATGCAATGTTCAGAGATGTTTAGCAGGGAAGAAAAAAAAAGTCAGCATGTCTGAGAGCTTTGTCACCTCCAACCAGTTCCAGTTCCTTAAAGGAGTAGATATCTCTGAATATTCTCAAAAGGTGTAATGAAGAGAGGCCCAGAGAAGTATATCTGAGTGAAAAGTAGGATACAGTCATGAGGGGATGCAGTTCAGGGAGGTTCTCACTTATCTTCGATATTTTTATTTTTAGAAATAACATTAAAATTATTTTAAGTATAAAGATGTCAAAACTCCTTATAGGCTTAATCAAGAAACTCACGGAAATGTTACTGAAAGATAGAATGAAGTCATCTTCTCCATAGCTAGAGGAGGTGATACTGGGACGCTTATTTTCTCATTCCTAAAGTGTGGTGAGATCAGTGGCATGAGCTGCAGGTGGCAGCTGAACAGAGGTGGGCGGAATATCTTCTCTGGAGGAGGGTATGGAATTCATTCTCTCTCTTCCACAGGCCAGCAGCCAAGCACAACCCTCTTCTGATCTTCAGAACAATTGGCTTCTCTTCAATTCTTCCCTGGAAGAGGCAGACTGAAGGGGGATCCACATAGAACTGTTGTTTGGGCCTCCTGCACTGTGGGTGTGTGTGGGAGACACTTACAAGCATAATGCACACAGAGTATAGGAATTTATTGGCTGGTTTCATCAACTGACTGTAGTTTCTACAGCTCAGATGAACCAAACCCATTTTTTTGCCTGAAAAGTTATATATAGCCTCCTGAAAATGTTTTAAGACATGTAATTCTGATTAATTTGCACCTGACTCATAAAACCATTTTTCCTATGAGCTTAGTATTATATGATAATTACTTTCTGATCTTTTTAAAGCTCTTGGCCATGGAAACAGGAAGTGGGAAAACAAACTGGAAAATAAAAAAGTTCAAATTTAGGGCAAAATCCAAGAGTCACGAAAATTCTGGCACTATGTATTTTCTGATCTTGACATCACAAATAACCAGTTTTGCCACAGTTGTTTTGAGAAGAAATAAAGACTAGAGTTAAAACAAAGTGTCTGTGGGAGAAAAAAAAATCATATCCCAATTGTTTCCTTATCTTTTTTACACATAAACTAGTGTTTGATGGGAAAAAACAAGATGGAAAAATGACTCTTGGTCTTCTTATGACAGGTTGATTCATACTCCTCATGTCTCAAAAGCTTCAAGCTTCTCAAGCCTCTCTCCCATGATCCAATCTTTCTCACCTATTATTTGCTTCTCCCCTCTCCCCACAAGTGCAGGTATGTGAGTGTGTGTATATGGGTGTATACATGCATGTGTGTGCATGTATGTGTGTTTGTGTGTGTGTGCATATGTGTCCTTCACTCTTACATCTTATTTCAATGTTCCAGAAGCCAAGACATGAGGCAACCCTTCTTGGACCAATAACTTTCTCTTTTCCCTGGCCATACCCCATGCCCCTGACCTCTGCCTGCCGTCTGACAAATAAGTAATTGTGATTTATGTGATCACAATCAACTCTCATGTCTCTAGTGCTGCCTATGCCCCCCATACCGCATTTGGTACTTCACATGTCTCCCATTTAATCATTAACATAGCCTATGGCATACCCAATAACATCTCCATTATACAGCTAAAAAACCTGAGGATCACAGTATGGAAGTCCCACATCTAGAAAGTTTTGGTTTTAAGTTTCGAACTCATGTCTCAGTGATTCCAAACCCCAAGATGTTTCCTCTACATGACACCTTTAGGAAGAGAAAAGGCCAGAGAGTGTAATAAAGGTTAAGGCACGTTTTATCTAATTGTTTTCATCAAGTTATCTTTAAAGGCAAAGAAGAGTGAACGTATGTGGGAAGGCAGGTGAATCAGCATGTTGGAACTGAAAAAGACGTAGTATGCTTTTGAGGATGTTAGTCTGAAGCACTCAGTTACAAGCAGGTGATTTCTTTGAAGACTTCTATTTATCTTAACAATTTTATTCTAATTTTGCATTGTACTCTATAAATATTGATGTGTGCTATAATGTTAAAGAAAAAGGTTAAAAATACTTGCCATTGACTAAATTAATGCTCTAGGAAGATGTGCCATGTTTCTCCTGCTAGCCTATGGGTCCTAGGTACCTTGCCATTACCCTTGGGATTGCTGTACCTCAGGGTGAAAAACAGAAAAAATACATCCATTTCCACTATGGAAAATATAACTAAAAAGTACCTTTCTTACAAAGGGTGTGCCAACAGGGTATTATTTTCACTTCAAAAGGAGTACATTACTATTAAGGATCATAAGGTAGATTTTGAATACTTAGAAGGTGACTACAGAGACAATGGTAAATAAGAGCAGTAGAGCAAAAATGTTGATGACAGGGAATTATTTCTGCAGCTTAGACCAGTTTTCAAAACCTAGCACAGAGACTCAATTAAATGTTCAATTCCCAGCAGAATACAAATAATTAAAATATACAGAGGCAATAAGGTAGTAGGAGAAGAGCTTTAGATTGGGACTCAAGACCTGAGTTCTAGACCCAGATATGCTACCAGCTAGTTTGGATATGAATTTTGGTAGTTGCTTAGCCCTTGTGTTTTTTCCCTCATTATACGTTAACAATATTTGTATTTTTTTATTTTTATTTTTGTGGGAAAATAGTAGGCTTATATATTTATGGGGTACATGAGATGTTTTCTTTTTTTTTGTTTTTTTGTTTTGTTGTTGTTGTTTTTTGTTTGTTTGTTTTGAGATGGAGTCTCACTCTGTTACCCAGGCTGGAGTGCAGTGGCCTGATCTCGGCTCACTGCAAGCTCCGCCTCCCGGGTTCACACCATTCTCCTGTCTCAGCCTCCCAAGTACCTGGGTCTACAGGCGCCTGCCACCGCACCTGGCTTTTTTTTTTTTTTTTTTTTTTTGTATTTTTAGTAGAGAAAGGGTTTCACCGTGTTAGCCAGGATGGAATTGATCTCCTGACCTCGTGATCCACCTGCCTCGGCCTCCCAAAGTATTGGGATTACAGGCGTGAGCCACCGCGCCTGGCCTACGTGAGATGTTTTCATACAGGCATGCAATGTGAAATAAGCACACCCTGGAGAATGCATTTTTCCTTTGAGTTACAAATAATCCAATTACACTCCTTAAGTTACTATTAAATATATGATTAAGTTATTATTGACTATAGTTACCCATTGTGCTATTAAATAGTAGTTCTTATTCATTCTTTCTATTTATTTTGTACTCATTAACCATCACTACCTCCCTCCCTGAAACCCCCACTCTCCTTCCCAGCCTCTGGTAACCATCCTTCTACTCTATTATGTCCATGAATTCAATCGACTTGATTTTCAGACCCCACAAATAAGTAAGAACATGTGATATTTGTCTTTCCATGCCTGGTTTATTTCACTTAATGATCTCCAGTTCCATCCCTGTTGTTGAAAATGACTGGATCTCATTCTTTGTTATGGCTGAATGTACTTCATTGTGTATATGTACCACGTTTTTCTTTATCCATTCATCTGTTGGACACTTAGGTCGCTTCCAAATCTTGGCTACTGTAAACAGTGCTGCAACAAACATAGGAGTACAGTTATCTCTTCAAAATACTGATTTCCTTTCTTTGAGGTATACACCCAGCAGTAAGATTGTTTTATTTTTGGTAAAATAAAGCATTTCAGTAAAATAAAGTATTTTGGTAGCTTTATTTTTAGTTTTTGAGGAACCTCCATACCATTCTCTATAGTGGTTGTATTAATTTACATTCCCACCAACAGGGGTCTAGTTTCATCTAGTACAAAGATTCCCTTTTTTTTTTTTTTCCATATCCTTACCAGCATTCGTTATTGCCTATCTTTTGGATATGAGCCATTTTAACTCAGGTGAGATGATATTTCATTGTAGTTTCGATGTGCATTTCTCTGATGATCAATGATGTTAAGCACCTTTTCATATGCCTGTTTGCCATTTGTATGTCTCTGTTTTTTTTTTTTTGTTTTTTTTTTTGTTTGTTTGTTTGTTTTTGAGATGGAGTCTTGCTCTGTGGCCCAGGCTGGAGTGCAATGGCGCAATCTTGGCTCACTGCAACCTCCGCCTCCTGGGTTTAAGCGATTCTCCTGCCTCAGCCTCCTGAGTAGCTGGGTTTACAGGCATGCACCACTGCACCCAGCTGATTTTTGTATTTTTAGTAGAGACGGGGTTTCACCATGTTGCCCAGGCTGGTCTTGAACTCCTGACCTCAGGTGATCCACTTGTCTCAGCCTTCCAAAGTGCTGGGATTATAGGTGTGAGCCACCGGGCCTGGCTATGTCTTCTTTTATATTCAAATCTTTTGCCAATTGTTTGATTAGATTATTAGACTTTTTTCCTAAAGAGTTGTATGAGTTCCTTATATACTCTGGTTATTAATCCCTTATCATAGGGACAGTTTGCAAATGTTTTCTTCCATTCTGTGGGTTGTCTCTTAACTCTGTTGATTGTTTCCTTTGCTGTGCAGAAGCTTTTTAACTTGACGTGATTCCTTTTGTCCATGTTTGCTTCGGTTACTTGTGCTTGTGGGGTATTGCTCAAGAAATCTTTGCCCAGACCAGTGTCCTAGAGATTTTCCCCAATGTTTTTTTAGTAGTAGTTTCATGGTTTGAGCTCTTAAATTTAAGTTTTTAGTCCATTTTGATTTGATTTTTGTATTAGTATATGATGAGAGATAGGGGTCTAGTTTCATTCTTCTGTATATGGATATCCAGTTTTCCCAGCACCATTTATTGAAGAGATTGTCTTTTGCCAGTGTATGTTCTTGGCACCTTTGTCAAAAATGACTTCACTGTAGGTGTGTGGATTTGTTTCTGGGTTCTATATTCTGTTCCACTGGTCTCTGTGTCTGTCTCTGCCAGTACACTGCTGTTTTGGTTACTACAGCTCTATAGTATAGTCTGAAAGCAGGTAATGTGACTCCTCCAGTTTTGTTCTTTTTGAGTAGGATAGCTTTGGTCATTCTGGGTGTTTGGTGGTTCCATATAAATTTTAGAATTGTTTTCTCTATTTCAGTGAAGAGTGTTATTGGTATTTTTATAGCAATTGCATTGAATCTGTAGATTAGAAATATCTTTCCATTTTTTGGTGTCCTCTTCAATTTCCTTCATTAGTGTTTTATAGTTTTCATTACAGAGATCTTTCACTTTTTTGATTAATTCCTAGGTATTTAATTTTCTGTGTGGCTATTGTAAATGGGATTACTTTTTAAATTTCTTTTTTACGTTGTTCACTGCTGGCATATAAAAATGCTACTGATTTTTGTACGTTTATTTTGTAGCCTGCAACTTTACTGAATTTGGTTTTCAGTTCTAGTAGTTTTCTTGTGGAGTCTTCAGATTTTTTCAAATATAAGATCATATCATCAAACAAGTATAATTTTGTTTTGTCCTTTCCAAGATGTCCCTTTATATCTTTCTCTTGTCTGATTCCTTTAGCTAGGTCATTCAGTACTATGTTGGATAACTGTGGTGACAGTGGACATCCTTGTCACGTACCATATCTCAGAGGAAAGGTTTTCAGTTTTTCCCCACTCAGTATGATACTAGCTGTGGATCTGTCATATATAGCTTTTATTATGTTGACATATGTTCCTTCTATACCCAGTTTTTTTTGAGACAAACTCTTCCTCTGTCACCCAGGCTGGAGTGCAGTAGCATGATCTCGGCTCACTGCAACCTTTGCCTCCTGGGTTCAAGTGATTCTCTGGCCTCAGCCTCCCAAATAGGTGGGATTACAGGTGTGCACCACCACGCCCAGCTAATTTTTGTAAATTTACTAGAGGCACAACCATGTTGGCCATGCTGGTCTCTAACTCCTGACTTCAAGTGATCTGCCCACCTTGGCCTCCCAAAGCTCTGAGATTTATAGGCATGAGCCACTGTGCTCAACCTATACCCAGTTTTTTTGAGGGTATTTTTTTTTTATTATGAGGGGGTGTTGAAGGTTATTTTTCAATATCATTTGAAATGATCATAGGGTTTTTATCCTTCATTCTGTTGATATAATGTATCATGTTGATTGATTTGCATATGTTGAACCATTCTTGCATTCCAGGGATAAATCCTACTTGGTCATGATGAATGATCTTTCTAATACATTGTTGAATTTGGTTTGCTCTATTTTGTTGAGGATTTTTGCATCAATATTTGTCAGAGATACTGGCTGTAGTTTTCTTTTCTTTTTTTTTTTCTTTTTTTGAAACAGAATCTCTTTCTGTCACCCAGGCTAGATAGAGTGCAGGGGCATGATCTCAGCTCACTGCAACCTCTGCCTTCCAGGTTCAAGCGATTCTCATGCCTTAGCTTCCTGAGTAGCTGGGATTACAGACATGTGCCACCACACCTGTCTAATTTTTGTGTTTTTAGAAGAGATGGGGTTTCAATATGTTGGCTAGGCTGGTCTTGAACTCCTGACCTCAAGTGGTCTGCCTGCCTCAGCCTCCCAAAGTGCTAGAATTTACAGGTGTGATCCACCACGCCTGGCCTAGTTTTCTTTTTTGATGAGTCTTTGGTCTGGTCTTAATATCAGGGTAATACTGGCCTCATAGAATGAGTTTGGAAGGATTCCCTCCTCTATTTTTCAGAATAGTTTGAGTTGGATTGGTATTTGTTCTTCTTCAAATGTTTTGCAGGATTTAGCAGTGAAGCCATTAGGTCCTGGGCTTTTCTTTACTGGAAGGCTTTTTATTATGGCTTCAATCTCATTACTTATGATTGGTCTGTTCAGGTTTTGGATTGCTTCCTGGTTCAATTTTGGAAGGTTTTATGTGTCTAGGAATTTGTCCATTTCCTCCAGATTTTCCAATTTATTGGTATATAGTTGCTCATACTAGCCACTAATGATCCTGTGAATTTCTGCAGTTCTCAGTTGTAATGTCTCCTTTTTCATTTCTGGTTTTAATTGGATCTTCTCTCTTTTTTTTCCTAGTCTAGATAAAGGTTTGTCAATTTTGTTTAACTTTTCAAAAAACCAATTTTTTGTTTCATTGATCTGCTGTATTTTTTTCATTTCAATTTAATTTATTTCTGTTCTGATCTTTATTGTTTTTCTTCTACTATTTTGGGTTCGGTTTACTCTTGTTTTTCTAATTCTTTAAGATGCATCACTAGATTGTTTACTGGAAGTTTTTCCACTTTTTTTTTATAGGCACTGGTAGCTATAAGCTTCCCTCTTAGTATTGCTTTTGCTGTATCCCATGGGTTTTTGTATGTTGTGTTTCCATTATCATTTGTTTCAAGAAATTTTTCAGTTTCCTTCTTAATTTCTTCATTGACCCACTGGTCATTCAGAAGCATATTGTTTAATTTACATGTATGTGTATAGTTTCCTCTTGATATTAACTTCTAGCTTTATTCCCTTGTGGTCAGAGAAGATGCTTATTCTTAATTCTAAATTATTTCAGTTCTTGGAATGTTTTATCTTGTTTTGTGACCTAATGTGAGGTCTATGCTTGAGAATGAGCCATGTGTCAAGAAAAAGAATGTGTATTCTGCAGCTCATGGATGAAATGTTCTGTAAATAGCTATTAGATCCATATGGTGCAAATTAAGTCTGATGCTTCTTTGTTGATTTTCTGTCTGGAAGGTCTGTCCAAAGCTGAAACTAGGATGTTGAGCTACAGTAGTCTCCAGCTATTATTTTATTAGGGCCTATCTCTCTTTTTAGCTCTAGTAATATTTCTTTTATATATCTGGGTACTCCAGTACTGGGTGCATATGTATTTAAATTGTTATATCCTCTTGCTGAATCGACCCCTTTATCATTATATAGTGACCTTCTTCATCTCTTCTTATAGTTTTTATCTTGAAATCTATTTTTTTCTGATATAAGTATAATGACTCCTGCTCTTTTTTGGCTTCCATTGGCAGGGAATATCTCTTTCCATCCCTTCATTTTCATTCTATGTGTGTCTTTATAGGTAAAGTGTGTTTCTTGTAGGCAAAAGATCAATGGGTTTTGTTTTTTCATCCATTTAGCCAGTCTACGTCTTTTGATTGGAGAGTTCAGTCCATTTACATAACCCTTGTTTTGGTTTCTATAAAATAAGGAGTTGAGTTGTGGGCTAGATGATTTCTGATGTGCTATCCAGTGTGAACATTCTATGAATCTATGATATTTGTCTAATGTATTGCAGTGAATAGAATATAGGCAATGGGATCAGAGAGACCAGATTTGAATCCCAGTTGAAGCATTTAATAGCTTTAGAAGCCTTATGAAGTCATTGTGAAGGATAACTGAGAAAACATTTATAAAATCTTCCATGATACCATGACAGATAGTTGGCACTCAATAAAGGTAGCTATTATTTTGATGATATTTATTATATATAAAAAAGAGATGTAGGAGAACCATCCAACTTAGTCTGTTGAGTTTTCAGTTGCACTATAAATTTACATGTTATATCTTGGTTTGTATTAGATCCTGTTGTCATAAGCTTTTAGCACCATGTACTTTTCCTTCAAAGCTTTTACTACAAGTTGTCACTATATACTTATTCTAAGATTATCCATTTAATAGATAGTCTATTAGGCTTCTAAGGTTCTAAGATTACCTGTTTAATATCTTCCTTCTCATGCTTCTATAAGCCCCATAAAGGCAAGGAACACATATGTTTTGTTTACATCCATATTACCAAATTCTAGCATAGCACCTGAGACAAAGTAAGTGCCCAATAACTATCTGTCAGTGAATGAATGCATGCATGGGCCTAAGAAATTCTGGTCCTTAGATCACCTACTCATCAGACATCATGAGAAGAAATGCACACATTACTTGGGGCCCAGGAAACTTATTTGTTCCATCCCATCTCTATTATTGAGTCTGACTGTTCTACAATAGGCCATTTCCTGTACAATATAAATGTTCAATTGTAGGCCATTCTGTTATTGATTCATAAGTCTACTAGTGTTTAGAGATAATCCCAAACTTCCATACCACATCCCAGGTTCTGCCACACATACCCACCTACATGGCTACCCAATAATAAACTTTTCTCAACTCATAGCAGCAATGGGGGAAAGCTCTGTTTCTTGCATTTTACTTTTTTAATGTTCTAAATTTATGGTCCTTCTTCTACAAAGTTTATCAGTGTCATCCAGGAACCTGTTAAATATGTAGATTCCTGGATCCTACCTCTAGATATCTGATTCAGAATATCTAGTGTGAGGCCCAAGGATCTGTATTTTAAGCAAGTTCTCCAGGTAAGATGCAAAAAGACTGGCCCATGCTCTAAGAAACAATGTTTTAAAGGCGGCATTGAAAATAATTACCACAGATTTTCTGAATGACTTTGATGCAAATAAAATATTTTGAACCAACACTCCTGAGATTTAAGTGGACACAACGTGTGTAAACTGTTTTGAACTTCTCAGTGGAGTCCTAAAGGATTGACAGAGATAAAATTCTATATTAAGAAAAACAGAAGAGAGAGTTAAGATTTTTGATCTTTTAAAGAGGTTGAATATAAATTTATTTTGGAACCTCAAGGTATTAAATTATTGACTATTATAAAAGTTGCTATTCAATTCAACAAAGAGAGAAGAGACCATTAACAAATACCCAGGCCTCCAAAATGGCCATTTCCAATGACTAAGGAGATAACACATAACACAATACTGAAGGCTTGCTCATGTTGTTCTGAAAGGCTTTGAACGAGTAATGAGGACACCTGAGACTCTCATACTTGGTAGAGGTAATAAGATAAAGCAGAAAAAGTACAGATCAAGACTGATCATCTCATCCATGCCAATGGGACATTCCATATGGAATGTGGAGTCACAAAAGAAGCAAAAGTTCTCACTCTTGACAGATTGTCTTCAGTTGTGCCTACATTGCTTCAAGAGGGCAATGACAAACACCCACGTTTAGTTTAATAGACTGCAGGGAGTAAATCTCTGAAAACTCAAAGCACAAGGCATATTGCTCATTTAAAATCATACATGTGACATATCTTCCAACTTAAATAGCTCCACTCCACAGGTGCTAAAGCCATTTTACTTCCATACACCTCCCACACACCTGAGAATAAATTATCACGCTACATAATGGAATTCTGTCTCTAATTTAGAACCTGAATTTCACGTCTTTGGAAATGTATAATAGGGCTATGTCAACATTTTGCTTTCTGCACAGATAGTAATTTAGGTTATCACCAGACACCTGTCTAACCTGTAATTTTTTCTTTCTCCATTTTGTCTCCATGAATATGGAGATAGCAGTGGTTGCCAGAGTGCTAAAGTGCAGTAGAAAGGAGCATGCATTTAATTATTTAGGTGGAAGTGAAGGAAGGTGCTCAAAGGTGGTGAGTGCTAGCATTGGGATCAACTGTCCCTCTTCATTTCATCCAGATAATTAAAGACTATCTATTATACTTGGTATGGTAAGCAAGGATCCCCAAAAGGCAATTAGAGAAAGGAGAAAAAAAAGGACATTAATGTAGCTGATGAAAGAGTAACAGGGACTGGCATAAAGAAGGCCAAACAGAAGGTATGTTCATCAAAAGACGGTCCTTAATTGACTGTCCCTCTCATTTTTTCAGAAAGAGCAGTAAAGGCAGCATTATCGTCTAGTAATGTAAATGTTACCATGTATATTAAGCAACAGAAAGACTCTCAGGTTCCTTGAGTTCTGTTTCAAAGAGATATAGCAGAAGCACCCAAGTTGTTCTGCCAAGTTATCAGGTGCACTATAAATTTAAATGGTACATCTTGGCTTGTATTAGACCCTGTTGTCAATGTGGGCATTGATTCTTTATTTTACTAACTTAGAAAAAGCACTTATTGAGCACTTATTACATAATCAGGATTTTCCTAGGCACATAGAATACAATAGAATAAGACACTTCCGTCTACAATGAGTTTAAGTCTACTGAGACAAACTAGTGAGCAATTTCAACTCAGTATGTCTTCCATGTAGGACTTGGGGGTTAAGGAAGGTTTCCTGGAACTGATATTCAAGCTGTAATTCCAAGGACAGCAGAAGTTGAGACGACACAGTGAGGGGGATTGTGCAAGAAATGGACAAGGACATTTCCAGGTAAATGCTTGGTTATAACAGAGAAAGTAGAATCAACAAAGATGTGGGGAGTAAGGAAGTATGCTGATTGGAGACAATTTCTGCAGAAAGAGAAGAAAGATCTGTAGAATAGAAAAAGGTTTTTACTTTTTTATCCCACTGTTGCTAGACATAGTAAAATTCATCTTCCCTCCTAGCACCTTGAGCTATTCTCACCAATTAACCGGGCTTTGAAGACTGACTTATGGTGGTCTCAGATCCATTCACTTGTAGCCAGGGTAAATACAAATTATATTTTCTTAATCTACCTACATACATCAAACCCTAAGCCTCTGTTTCCATTTGGTCTTTCTTCTTTACTTCTTTCATTTCACACACAATGAACAATGATACCTACAGTATTGCCTTCCCAGACAGACTTAATACTATCTCTCTGTTTTTGTATTGTCTAGATTAACTTTGCAAAAATGTATCTCTCCAAATTCTTCTGGTTTCATATTCGGTTGTGTTTATTTTCTTTTCAAAATTTTAGAGTCTATTTGATGTTTTCAGGAGTGGCCTATCTGGCAAGCCTGGTCTCCTCACTCTTTGCTGTTGATACGATCTATTCATTAAGTGCTCAAATGCCAGGGCTTTCACCGAGCACCAAATAAAGCTCATTAAATGGATACATCCCTGCTCTTTAATTTATTTTGTACAGGGTAAGAGTTTACAATGACTTACATTTCCCTGTCCAGTTTTTCAAGAATTCCCAGGGAATTAATGAACTTTAGTTCTGAAAATCTTGTGCAATGGTGTGCTGGAACCAGTCCATACCAGCTCATAAGAGCCAACTGTTAAATTTTCAGGAACTTTGTGACCCAGTTGCTAAACATAACTGTTACTAAAAATTAAACTGTATGAATGAACAAATGAATTATGTGTAAAACAGGTAACATATACTCAAAACTCATCACTTCCTAATTACTTTGCTACATTTTACTATTATCTATTTCTTAAGTTTACTTCCATATATTGCTTTTGTGTGATGGTAAGGCTATAAAAGGTGTGATGCTGGGCTTCTCTTCTCAACCTTGTGTTTCATGATGTCATGTTGGTAGCTTGAAAACAGCCACGGTGGGAGTATTCACCCCACAAAAACTGGAAAACCCTACAAATCAGGGCTCCTTTTTTTCTTTAGAGATCTGCCCCCTCACCCCATTGCTCGTTTGGAATAAAGAATGGGAAAATTGGTTGAGAAGGAGAAAGAACAGACATTGACAGAAAAACAGTAAACCTAGTTATATGAAGAAAGTCCACTAAATTCATAGTTTAGGAGAGGATCCGTTAAAATAAAATCGTATTCTCTCTGAAGATGTGCAGATCTGGCCTCTGGAAGTTAATAGATTTTAAGGAAAGTGAAACCATGACACATGACTCCTGTTTTTGTTAGTTTGTTTTTGCCTTTTACAAAACAAGTGAATGTCAGAGAAGAGAGTACAGAAGGCTGAAGGGTATAAAGTCTGCTTTGGTCACTTGCCAACACACACTTATGCCCTGACAGCAGCTTTTGTTGCTTAAGATATTCCAGATATTTGAGAAATCCCAAAGTGGACGAACTTGTTTTGTGGATTTAGGTAAAAATCACATTAGTATTTCACATCCAAAATCAGAGTCTCTGCAGATTTTGGGCACTATAACCGGTATCTCTGTGCTTAAGAGAATACCTAGGGCTCTTTAACATAAAAGCACAGGGTAGGTAACAACCTAGCTAACTTCAACAATGCTAATAACATGAGTGAGTTTCACCAGATGGTCTTGAAGGATCTCCTGGAGTGTCTATGATTCCTGGGATATTCTTGAGGTACAGTCAAAGGGCAGAACTAAATATCCCATTGTTTGGGAAGGAAAGTAGACATATTACGCTTTAGCAACTTGTCTAAATTTAGGAATAGATCCAGTTAAAACAAAAATAGGCCCAGAACCCCCAAATTCGAACTCCTACTCAAATATAAAGTACACTGTCAGATGGTAACGAACAGTGATTCCAAAGCCCCAGCTTTAATTCAAGCAAATTAGCCCCATGGATAAGTAAACAATGGTTAAAATCTTCAAATTTCTGAGGTTCTTAGGACCTTAGAGTTCTCTATTAAATGAGCAAACAAAAGACAGATTTGTGTATCTGAAACTCTCAGGACACTTATCATAAATCCCAAAGGATAGAAGTCAACATTATAATTATATGGCAAACTTTCTCCTTAAGATTGTATAGCCTTGAATAATTGTATGACTTCTGCCTGATTTAAAGACCTCTCAGAGCTGATCCCATGAAATGAAAATTATAAAGTTTCCAGTTTACAACTAGCTCTAAGCACTTCATACCAATGTATTATGAGTTGATTGACTAGTAAACAAAGTAAACCTTCCAAGTCCTGTCTCATGAGAGTGAGGAAGAAATGTGTGGGTACTTTCATTCATTCCCCAGACAGGGTGTATCATCTGGCCATTTGTTCCAACTGGTTATGGATAATCAAAAGCAGATTATGAGAGGCTGGGCCAAAGCATTCAAAAATTCAAGTTTCTAAAAACCTATCTTGGTCAAGAGAACTTCTATTTCTGCTTCTGAAAATTACAGAATACTCTTGCAGCTTCTTCAAGGAGATGTACTACAATTCTCTAAAATAGAGTTGAAATGCACCATAGAGTATATTTCTAGCTAAGGTTAATAAAAGGCATTCCTGTCATTGCCTGTCCAGGAAAGACATAGCTAATCAATTAGGATAAGCCTGGATCTGAATCAATCCATGAGGCTCTTCATTCCCGCTGTGCCCGGATTCAGTCTTATAATCTTTCTCCACACTCTCCAGCATACCACCATCAATGAACCTGAATTGGCACTTGAGACAAGTCCAGATCTTATCCAATTTTATTTCATTGAAAATGAGGGCAAGAGAGGTTAAATAGCTTGCTTCATGTCACAGTGGCAAACCAAGATTTGAAAATAAGATTTCCAGTGCTCTTTCTGTTGTGATGTACTGCCTTACTGAGGGCACAGAAGCTTTGAACTGTGGGCTGACGCAAGCTGAATTCCCAGCCATAGGTCTAAGGATCTGGTTGATGGATAATAGCAGGGCAGACTCTTTCTGAAAGGTAATGTCAGACATCTGGTAGATGGAACTGGTAATGAGTTGCTGCTTAGCAAACAGCTTTAGTCAAACAACATCCTTTTCTTTCCATACATGAATTATCAGTGTTTATGGTATAAAAGTCAAGTGAAGAAATTAAATGGGCCAAAGACAGAGCTCTAGGATTAAGAAACTCTGCAATTATTTATTAGTGTATGTACTTAAGTAGAGCTATGAATTTAATTACAAATAAACAAATCATTTTAATCTTAAAGGCTTATCCTTGCCTTTCAAGTTGTGAAGACACAAGGTAGATATGTAGAGAATTGGAAGAAATATCATAGGATATAGAAATGCAGAGTAGTAAAGAGGGAAATTTGGCCTTGCTTTTGTTGGAAGTATTATCTGTGTTCTTTTTTTTGAGTAGGTTTCATCAGCAAAGTCCAAGCCTCTGTTATTCCATTATTCTTAATCTAAAGGTCAGATTCAGCTATGTTAGCAAACACTTTCAATATTTCTAACAATTCTAAAACAACCAATAGAAACAACTGGTGTGACATTACTATTTCTACTTCTCCTGTAACATGCTTTTTTTTTTTTTTTTTGCCCATTTTAGGTTTCAAAACATTCACATGTGATAAGGGGGGACTAGTTCCATGAATCCAAAAAACCCAAGAGCAATAATTTTTAGATATCATTGTAAAAGGTCTGCAACTACCAGATGCATGCAACTATGTGGTTGGGACAGAGAAAAGGAGTCAGTATTGCAGGCACAGCAATACTCTGAGCAGAGTTTCAATGTAACAGCTGCCCACACAATGTGAATAATACCCTGTTCTGGCCTCAGAGACAATGACCTGGTTTCTACCTCCTCCCTTGGTAATAAGCCTATTTTGGATGTGCCATTTTGCACTTGCTTATGTGGGTAAATATGACTCAGGAATTTCATATTTCTAAAACCTAGTTGAAACTCAGACACTCTAGAGGAAGAAGAATTCAAAAGCATTGAGGTCTCTGCATGTTCTTCCATTTTAAAGCTTCAGCAGATGGTGTGACTCTTCTTCACCTAACAGGTGACTTGAAGAGTTACGTTACTGCAAACAAGATTCTTGGTTAAAACTATGAATGTAGACAGTACAGCCTCATGGCCCCAGATTAATCCCATTTATTATAAATATAACATTCAGTTGACATTTTTATCAATGGAATTATTGTGAATTTTATAAACCAACTACAGTAGTAATATAACGTACCAGTGCTATTTTACACATTTTGTCCCTAAAATAATCCACATTTCATTCAGATAATATCTTGGTAAAGGTGGACCAGCCTCTCTGGCCTTCTCATTATCCTCTTATATTTTAGGTATTTTTATTTTGTGCCAGATTATGTATATTATTTTCAACTGAAAAAAAAATGAGGCCAGTCACAGTGGCTCACGCCTGTAATCCCAGCAATTTCTGAGGCTGAGGAGGGCGAATTACCTGAGGTTAGGAATTTGACACTAGCCTGGCCAACATGGTGAAACCCCACCTCTATCAAAAATACAAAATTAGCTGGGTGAGTGGCGAACGCCTGTAGTCCCAGCTACTCAGAAGGCTGAGGCAGGAGAATCACTTGAACCTGGGAGGCAGAGGTTGCAGTGAGCCAGGATCGTACCATTGCACTGTAGTCTGGGTGACAAGTGCAAAACTCCGTCTCAAAAAAAAGAAAAGAAAGAGAGAAAACACAGATCAGTGCAGAGAGTATTAAACCAGGCAGAAGATTGAGTTTTAGACTAGTAAATTTCCTCAGTGTTTTTGAACTTGCATTTATCCAGCCCTAAAACTGTCCATGGTCTCTGGGGATGCATGTGAAGAATAGTGAAATCATGTTTAAGAATATTTGGAAATCATTACTTCCTTACAACATTGAACACTATTTTGGCTCAGGAGATAATGAAAGGACCAGTGAGGGTGGTCCACATTTTTCACATTTAAGATACAAAATGTTTATGACGGATATAGGCAGACACAGTGTTTTGTTTTAAGCTTCTCAGGAATTCTCTTCTTACAAGATTTGCTTTTTAACTGATAATAGCCCCATTCCCGGTCACAAAAAAAAATCCCTCCAGACAAGATTCTTCCCAGAGCTATTTTAGCCCTTTTGTACTAATTTACTGTTACTAGCTTTATAATAATAAAAATTAGGAAAAGCCCAGAGTCAAAAGGAAACCAATGCAAAGGGAATCTCTACATGAGGGCATCATCAGTCTGAGGCTGACAACCCCCAGACCACAATCAGTGATGAAGCAGAAATGGTAATTAAGTATGGAGGTCAGGAAGGCAAAAGACAGAGAAGCCCTAACTTTCAGGCATATATGATTAGAATGGAGGAGTTGAGAGCAGACATAAAGGGAAGGAAGGTTTGAATGTCTGGGCACATCTACAGGTATTTCTACCAAGCTTGGCTTTGCAACTTATCTTCTACATTCCTAATACCACATTAGAAATGTGGCCAAGGCTGGGCACAGTGGCTCATGCCTGTAATCCCGGAACTTTGGGAGGCTGAGGCAGGCAGATCAACTGAGGTCAGGAGTTGGAGACCAGCCTGGCCAACGTGGTGAAACCCCATCTCTACAAAAAATACAAAAATTATCTGGGCACAGCTACTTGGGAGGCGGAGGCAGGAGAACTGCATGAACCCGGGAGGCGGAAGTTGCAGTGAGCCGAGATCATGCCACTGCACTCAAGCCTGGGCGACAGAGTGAAACTCTGTCTTAAAAAAAAAAAAAAAAAGAAAAAGAAAAAAGAAATGTGGCCAGAATTCCTGATTGCAACTTCAACAGCAGGACAATCCAGTTCAATATTTCCCAAAGTTTACTATGCTTATCACTAGTGTTACACAAGATGATTTTAAGTAATACACACATTTTACATTTTAATTTTAGTTGTTATGGGTTTCTTTTTTATGTGTTAGGAAACTAGAACATAAAACCCATAATGTCTTAGATGCTCTTTCTTAAGACAGAACTAAAATGTGTTTTTTTAAGGTCCATTCCTTTAAAGAAGAAATCCTGGAAGTAATAGAGGAGGTGATATACAGACGTGGAAAAAAATCATAAATGGTCTTTGAATAAGTTAGGTTTTGGAAAAGCTGTGTCGTGTGGCTGATATTAACAAACGTTTGTTTTCTTGCTCCTCTTTCTCTCTCTATGTTCTATTATGAGTAGGGGTCCTAAGGTGCGACACATTGCAGTAAAGGTGCTCAAGTGAACATGGCATTCAGCACTTGGTCCTTTCCCGTTCCTGGCAAGAGGTCATCTGCTGCCTGATGGGAAGCCCACCACTGCTTGGCCCCTCTACAGAAAATGCTTGACACTTTTTCACCCCATACCTTTTATGGTACAAAGAGTCAGAGTTTATAGTACAATTCACAAAGAGTCAGAGTTTTAACTGTTTCTTTACATTCTTATATTTGGAAGGAATCTCTCCTTAAATGCTGCTTTCATTGAAAAGAAAAAGAAAAGGAAACAGGCACCAGGTTACAAGAGGTTAAGAAAAGGAAAAGGCAGCCGGCCATAGTGGCTCATGCCTGTAATCCCAGCATTTTGGGAGGCTGAGGCGGGCGGATCACGGGGTCAGGAGATGGAGACCAGCCTGGCTAACATAGTGAAACCCTATCTCTACTAAAAATACAAAAAAAAAAAAAAAAAAAATTAGCCAGTCGTGGTGGAGGGTGCCTGTAATTCCAGCTACTTGGGAGACTGAGGCAGGAGAATCACTTGAACCCAGGAGACGGAGGTTGCAGTGAGCCAAGATCACGCCATTGAGCTCCAGCCTGGGTGACAAGAGTGAAACTCTGTCTCAAAAATAAATACATAAATAAATAAATAAATAAATAAATAAATAAATAAATAAATGAAAAGGCACAGGAAGAAGGCTGAAGTAAGGAATGTTGCATCCTTATATATTAGAACATCATATGAAGGCAGAGGTTTTTAAACATATTTAAAACTATTTT
Source organism: Homo sapiens (assembly GCF_000001405.40). Taxonomy (NCBI): domain Eukaryota; kingdom Metazoa; phylum Chordata; class Mammalia; order Primates; family Hominidae; genus Homo; species Homo sapiens. Next base: position 81,669,875 of record NC_000004.12, read on the forward strand.
GGCTATTTATTCTATAATCACTCATTCCTTTATTCTCTCAATTCCAGCAGGGAAAATGAAACTTTATCTCACTCCAAAACGGTTCTTAAAATTGCATTACTTTTTTTTTCCTTAAGAACGTGGAACTTATTTAACTTGAGGGATCTATCAGTTTAAGGCCAAAAATATGTCTCACAAGTTTTCCTCATGCATGCCAGGATTTGTGGTAAAGTCTAATAGGGAAGTCCACCTTGGCCTCATGAACAGATAATGTGAGAGTCACATAAAGGAAGAATTAGAGGTTGGAGTTCTCAGGGAAGAGAGAGACTTCAAACACAATCTTCTTAAAATATGGCATGTTTTTAAAAGAGTGTGGGCCCATGAGCCTCCCAACTTTAACAAGTAGTCGCAGACTGTCCCAATCCACTGTCCTTCCTGATAAACTCTCTTGTAATCAGAGAAGTCTATCAGGAGGCAATTTTGGCTAAAGCAAAGGAACGGCCAACAGATCTAGTTAACCTTGGTCGCAACCAGTATCAGGCTCTCCTCTCTCTCATAGAGTAACTGAGAACGCAGGTGAGAGGCAATGAGACAACGATGGGTACAGAGCTGTAAGACATACCTATTAATTATTACTATGTAAAAAGTACAGAGGCAGGGCTGTGTGAAATACAGATTTGTAAAAGGAGTAGGTAAAGCTTTTATTGTGCAAACTATGAGTCAAGCACAATATTAAGTAATTTTCATATTACAGCTTATTTGAGACTAACAATAAATGTGTGAGGTAGGTATTATATAGATGAGGAAAATCAGATGCAAAGATGCTAACTACCTTGCCTAAAGTCATATAATGAAATCAAAAAGGAGGGGATGGTGATGGAAGTGGGTGGATCTTAAGCCTGTCCAACTCCCCAATTCTCAAGTGTTTGATTCGCTTCTCTGTATCTGCTTGTTGTTTTTGCTATTATTTATCGAGTCCTTACTATATATCAGGTATTACACTAAATACTTACATGGATTTTATTAGTCAACCTTCACAGCAACCCTATTACATAGGTACTGTTGATTTCAGAATGCGATAGATGATAGAACTGAGGCACAGAAAAGGTACGTTACTTACTAGAGGTCATATAGCTAGCCAGTGGTGGATCTAGGACTTGAATCCAGGCAGTTTGATTACAGGGTCCAGACTCTATAACAACAATATCTGCCTTTTTTGCATTGTTGTGTCTGACTCCAAAATATTTTTGAGAAGATACAAGAACCTGAGACTACACTGAGCACTGGTGCTAACAACACACACACACACACACACACACACACAAGCGTGAACTGTTATCCTGATAAGTATAATAGGAAATCAGGAGACAGTAACTGGCTGTAGCATGAAGTAGCTAGGGAATTCTATTGTCCTCATTAAAATGATTCAATTTTGAAAATCATCTGATTCAGTAGATCTTAATATTCACTATGATTAAGATATCTTAATTCAATGAATCTTATTATTTTGGATTCATAGGTCAGACAAATTAGACAAGCAAAATGTGGTTAGCTGTCCTAAAACTACCTCTTTTTTTGCTAAATAAGTTAAAAACATTAATTGTTACTCTCAATATCATTGTGTAAAAAGAAACACGATATAAATTTAAATTTGTGAAAAACTATGTACCCTGCAAATATATTACACTATTGGAAGGGTGAAAATGATGCCAAAGATCACACTGGCTCACAAACTCGCACTTGAGAACCATGGTTCTAGTTGCAAACAATAGCAGACATTTATTGAGCATCTACGTGACAGGAGCATTGTATACATTATGCTGAATCGTTATCATAACTCTACAAAGTAGATATCATTACCCCTACATAAGAGATTGGGAATTTGAGTTTCAGAGAATTTGATTGTCATGACCAGAGCTGCCCCTCACCTAGTAAGGGGCTCTATCTAAACACAAATCCTTCTAACTTCAAAGCTTATGTTCTTTCTCTTGCTTGTGTTGCCAATCAAAAATTTGGTACTGCAGAGAGTTACGCTCCTATACCATCAATGAGTTTATAATTTTCAAATAGTTAGAACACACTGTATCCTGAATATATGGTAAACATTCTAAAAACAAAAATACATGTTGAATGTGCCACCTATTAATCGACTGCAGATACTCAAATCTATGTATGAAGCCATGGTGTCATCACGAGAACAAGATTCTTTGTTTAGTGATCATCAATTAGTACCTCACCACCAGGAGGCTGTTTGGCTTCTGCCCAGTAGCTAAGCTGATGTCTAACACAAGCCAAGCCTCTAAGAGGAGGGGTGTTTTAGGAAATGAAGACTCTGGGTGCATGGAAGTGCTGGAAGCATGTGGGAAGACCCAGCCAAATCCATTTAAATCTTTGACGTATTCTATTTTAAAATATCCTGTTCATATATTCCAGAATATATGTATGAGATGAAAAGGAACTTAGAGCCCAGTCAAACCCACCACTTTAACATTTCACAGAGGGCAAAATTGAGACCCAAAGGGATTCAGTGACATCCCCAAATCACCCAGCCAGTCAGAGCATTAAAGGATTAGAATATGAGAATTACTCAATCCCATGCCAGGAATACCGGTCCTTGCAGAGGGTAAGTTCTGGGAAACTTTTACTTGTTATGTAAGAAAGAAATACTGTAAAAGACAGGCTTCCTAGAGATTGGTAAGGGAACAACTGTTTAAATTACAGTACTCAGAGCACAGTCTCCAACTCCAGAAAACCACTCTTGGGAAAGAGGGTCCCTTTCAAGCCACTAACGCTGGGGTTAAATGTATAATGTTTAGGCTAGAATATATTTTTTTTGCATTTGAAGTTGCTTGGAAACTGACTTTTAGGATGATATTATAAACATGAATGTTCTAATTAATATAATTACTTTTTTATGACTTAGATTTTTAGGATCTCATCATTTAATTTAATCATTTAATGAGGTTATCATTAAAAATACCAGTTAAACATCTATTAAATATGCAGAGGTTCTGCTTAATGAAGTCTGGCTAGTAATTGAGTGCATGCTCACAATAACCTGATATTTTCTCTCTAGTTTTTTAGTGAAAGCACCTACTGCAATACTTGGCATGTGGCAGATACATAATGGATTTTGATTTCTCTCTTCCTTTTCCCTTAGGAGCACACGTGACTATTTTTGACATGGGCAGGAGCATGCATATGTGATGTATGTATATGTGCATGTGTATGTGTGTGTATCTATTGATGGAGAATTGAGGACATGACTGCTACAAAAGCCCAGGCCCCAAAGGACCTGCTTTATGGCAACCCTATCAGTGGTGGTAGTGAAATGATAACCAGAATCCCCATCAGACACTTTACCTGTGCACTGTCAGTCCTGTTCTATAACCTGCAGTAACACGTGTCTCCCCACCCACAGACCAGCCCCAGTCCTAACCATAGCTAACTATAGAAGGACCCTGAAACCAATGTCATCGGCCAAATCCCTTCTCCCTTTAAAGTAGTGATTCTTCTCTGGAGGGAAAGACCAATTAGACTTAGCTAGGGTGGTGCTTCTCAAACTTAATATGCATATACATTCCTTGAGGGTCTTGTGAAGAGGCAAATTCTGATGTTTTAGGTCTAAGATGGGGTCTGAGATTCTGCGTTTCTAACTGGCTTCCAGGTAATGACAAATGCTGCTGGTTCATAGACCACACTGCGGGGACCGCAGGAAGGATCTAGGAAGTAACTGCAAACTCTGTATTGCTGCCCAAGGCCACCTCCTTTTACTGCAGTCATGAGTTCTTATACCGGTGGAGTGTGTTAAATCTTTCTGGTGAGTTAGAAAAGAAAATCATTTATAATGAGAAAGCTATAGAGTTGGAGTGAGAATAAAAACAGAAGCATGGGAGAGAGGGAGAAAAGGGGAGAGAAGGAGTGGGGAAGACAGAAAAGGCGAAGTGTGAGTTTTTAGGTCTTTAGAGACATTCATAGTCAGTTCTTATATGACAGCATCCATTTTGCAGTTTTCTTCCCCCTAGAGTATTTTTCAAATCCTCATATTACAATTTTTATAACTAAATGTATTTCTGAAATTCCATTTCTAAGTATCCACCATACAATAGACAATTATGTAAGGTTCTCTCCCACACCCTAGCCGCTAAGAAAATCAACAACTACTAACCTATATCAAGAAAAAATTTCAACAAACTGAGATTAAAGATCTAATTGGTTTTTATTAATGATTCATGAATTGGGCAACACTGCATCCGTAAAAAAGTCAGTGCTCCATTGAGCATGGCGGAACAGTTGGTTTTTATAAGGCAGCTTAAGCAGGGACAAGGAAATAGAATAATACTAAAAGCGGGTTGGTTAATAGCAGGTTAGTTTCTTGTAAGGGTTAAAGCTGGCATACTCTGCTGGCTCAGGTTAACTGGGCCCTTTCCAATTGTTTGCTATGAATCTCCTGTTTTTACAAAAACAAACTAGTCTGTTGAAGGATTTTCCTGCTTCCTTGAAATTTCAGTTTAGTCATATGGCACTTAGCATGAGTGACTCCATTTTAGTTTGGTCTGTTGGGGTATGGCACAGGAGCTCAGTCAAAAAAAAAATGGCATCCTATAATTTTATTTAACACTTGTTCTCTGGAACAGTGGTCTCCAACCTTTTTTGGCACCAGGACCGGTTTCATGGAAGACAATTTTTCCCTGGGGGTGGGGGTGGGGGTGGGGAGTTGGTTTCAGGATGATTCAAATGCACTACAATTATTGTGCACTTTATTTCTACAATTATTATACTGCAATATATAATGAAATAATTATACAACTCATCATAATGTAAAATCAGTAGGAGTCCTAAGGTTGTTTTCCTGCAACTAGATGGTCCCATCTGGAGGTGATGGAAGACAGTGACAGATCAACAGGCATTAGATTCTCATAAGGAGCACACAACCTAGATCCCTCGCATGTGCAGTTCCCAATAGGGTTCACACTCCTGTGAGAATCTAATGCTGCCACTGATCTGACAGGAGACGGAGCTCAGGTTGGAATGCTGGCTCACCTGCTGCTCATCTCCTGCTGTGTGACATGGTTCCTAACAGGCCAAGGACTGGTCGATGGCCTGGGGCTGAGGATCCCCACTCTAGAACATGGTGTGAAGATATCTGTGTATGGGAAGGGAAAGTGAAGCATCACCTACTTCCATTTGGATTCTAGCAGTAAACAAGCAACTGGTGTAAGAAAGCTTCTTACCTTTCATTTGCTCCATATGAACATAGTCTATGGAGGTTTTTCATCTGGTAAACTATGCAGCAAAGTGGAAAGAGCCGGGATTTGGAGTCCAACTCTCCTGGGTTTTCATCCTCACAATTTGTGTAGCTTTAGGGAAATTACTGAAACTCTCTCAGCCTCTATTTCTGCATCCATAAAATATGGATAATTATGTTCCATCTTATAGGTTCTAAAAAGAACTAAATGAAATAATACATGAAAGTGTCTATCCAGTGCTAAGCACTATGATAGACACTGAACTGATAGAGGCTGACACTGATATTTTCATTTTAAAAATGAAAATCATTATTTTCTTTTAAAAGTGTGATAAGTGATGATGACAAACAAAAATTATATTATCATTATAAGTTATTATTAATTAGCCATTTTAAGGTTACATTTAAAAGGAAAGAGAATAAACCTTAAACACCATAATTGACAACGTGACCCACTTCAAGCCCTCAGCATCCACCTGGGGTAAGCTTCCTACAGAATGTCTTCAAACCCACCAAAACAATATTTTAATTCTAGAAGAGTTAGGGAAAATAGAAAGAAATGTTAACATTAGCAATTTTGGCTTTTACAAGTATCCTATAATTTAAGGAGAAAGATACAGTTTCCATTTAAGAGTTAAGAACATTAATGATAAAGCCTAACTCCAAGGTGAACATATAGTCACTGTAATTATTTAAATATCAATTACTATTAATTGAATACAGACAACCCTTATATCATTCCACTTAATTCCTATCCACACCATCTGAATATGACGGCTACTCACTTTTAACTTCACAGAGAATTTCTCTCACACGGAAAAGATTGACTTTTAGACCATCTGGATATCATCAGAAATGAAGATCAGAAAGAATAATGTACTGACTGAACAGACATCGAAACAGCTAGTGTGGTGGGTGACAAGAAGCCCATGTTTTTGTTTTTTAAAAAAACATTTTTGTCATTTGGCTCATATGTATTTCACATTTCGAAATATTTTGGAACAAGCATTTAAACTGTGAGATTAAATTTCATCATTATGGAGAAAGAAGCAGTCTTAATGGAAGGCACTGCCAAATCACCCAGACAGCTGACCCCTCTTCCAACCTTGTTGTGTGTTTCAGGAGGGAAGCTCGGGTCAGAAGATTCACGTGGAGTGAGACGGCCCACAAGGCAAATGGGGAGGTAATCATGTCTGATAGATTGGAACTGCTGAGAGTGAGTTCTGTCTAGCTCTGTGAGCATCCCCATGCTGCTTTGAGAGATTCTTTCACCTCCCAAATCTTGCTCAATCTTTTCTGCTACCAAATGTAAAGAAAAACTATTCTAGGTCCCTGATTCTTTACCAGGCAGAAATGGTTATAAGGAGGATATAATTCATGAACATTTGTAAACTACACATATAACCTGGGGCACACATTATTTCCGCCCAATCTATGATACTGGTAGAGAAGGAAGCAGCATTGAAACTTGGAGCTGCCATGAAGATGGGTAGTATGCGGAGACTGCAGGGCCCAGGCACCGGTTCCTGTCTTAGCCGTTAGCAAGGTAGAACCAAGAAATGCAGTCCCAGGCTGTAAGAAAGGAAAGGCTGAAGCCTAATGCGGAACTGCTGCAGTAGGGTCACATTACATTACACATATTCTGTTATGGAAACCACGCCTTTTGGAGCAAGGTCAAAAGCAAATTATGGCATGTCTGGGAAATGTCAGGCCTTGGAGTTTTCCAAGATTTTCCCTCCCTTCTTCCTCATATTTATATTGCAGTCTGTGGCTGCCTCAAAACCCCAGCTTTCTTGAAGAGGGGAAAGAAGAAAACCTACACCCAATCATTAGTAAGTAAAACAAATATTCAAGTGCATATGTAGTTAATTAGGTTTCTTCATCAAGGTCTTTCACATGGGGACCTCACTCTGAGGCAATTTGGAGATGCTATATGAAGAGTTCGATGGGTGAAAATAGAGCAAGAATAATTGATGGTCATCATATGTACGGTAGTGTACACTACTGTCCTGCTATTTGTGGAAGACTGGTTCCAAGACCCCTCTCAGATACCAAAACCCATGGATGCTCAAGTCCATTATATAAAATGGCATAGCGTTTGCATATAACCTATGCACATCTTTCCATATACTTTATTTATTTATTTATTGAAACTGAGCTTTGCTCTGTCACCCAGGCTGGAGTGCAGTGGTACAATCTCGGCTTACTGCAACCTCTTCCTCTCAGGTTCAAGCGATTCTCGTACCTCAGCCCCCTGAGCAGCTGGGATTACAGATGTGCACCACCATACCCAGCTAATTTTTGTATTTTTACTAGAGATAGGGTTTTGCCATGTTGGCCAGGCTGGTCTCAAACTTTGGGCCTCATATCATCCTCCCGCCTCAGCCTCCCAAAGTGCTAGGATTACAGAAGTGAGCCACCGTGTCTGGCCCTTCCACACACTAAATTTAAATCATCTGTAGATTACTGATAATGCCTTATACAATGTCTATAAATCACTTCATTTTTGTGGATTCAGTACAGTAGGTGGCACGTGGCAAATTCAAGCTTTGCTCTTTGGAACTTTGTGGAATTTTTTTTCGAATATTTTCAATCTGCCATTGGTTGACTTGATGGGTAAAGAACATATGAATGTGGAGGGCTGACTCTATCTTTTTAATAAGTAGACCACAATAAGGGCATAGAGTGACAGGAAGCTAATGGTTATGACAGTTGTTCTCAACCTTGGTTGTCTTTCACCTTTTTAGCTCAGAAAGTCTGGGATCGGGCCTTGGTACAAACTTATTTATTTTAAATCTCCACAGAATTGAGTTACAGATTTGAGCACTTGGCTGCAGAATCAAACCAACATCTGTTCAACCACTAATTATGACAATCCCTGCCACTCAACTGTTCCCCACAAGATGCACAAGTTGCTTTATCTCTCTAAAATATGTTTAATATTATACTTACATTGAACATTTATTGCAGAGATTAAGTAAATAAGCTTAGAGCTGGCACATTATATGCATTAAATAAACTATTACCTACCTCTCATTATTTATCATTACTACTTTTCTTATGAGTAAATTCAATGCAGTTAAATTCTTCTAGAAGGTTGTCAAAGGACAGTATCACTGTTCTACAGTATTTGGGTTATATCAAGACTTTACTCTGCGTTCTTCCTTGAGTAAATAAGTTCTGTCCCACATGTAACTAATAGTGAGCTATTCTATAAGAGGTTTCTGAACTTTGCATGTGGAACCTGGTTTACAATAAGTGAAATTGCCAAGTCACAGGGAATGCATATCTTACATTTTGATATATGTTGCCAAACTGCCTTCCAAAAAATTGTACCAATAACAAACACATGCATTTTCCAACTGAGCACCTATTATATTCTGGGAACTGTGCTACATCTCATTCTATTCTCAATACAATTGTACCCAAAGAAGATTTTATCTTCTTCTACTATATGATAAAATGAAGCTCAGGTGTGTCCAATCATGTGCTGAACTCATACTGGCAGTAAGTGATAGAGAAGAATTTGAACCAGATGCTTTCTAACTGCACAGTGGAAAAAATATAACCCAGGATAAAAATTAATTTGGGGTGTTGAAATATGCCTACAAATCTATCAGATTTATAACTGAACGATGCTAATCTGTGCATTTGTTTAGTTGTCTGTAAAATGAGAAAGTTCAACTTAAGTAGCGTCTAAGGTTTCTTCTAATTCAATAAGTCTGAGTTTGGAAGTACCGTTCGGCATCAGTCCTGAGGGAGGAAAGGATGTCTATATATAAGTATTTTTAGATCATGATTGTGTTAGTTGTTCTCCGTGTTTACTAAGTACCAAGCAAAAGAAAGAAATCCTACATAAATCCCAAAGGTTTTAGTTGACTTGAAAGAGGATCACCTAGGGATTATCTGACTGTCTCAGTGGTAAAACCCAGATATATTAATGGGTTCTCTGTCCTTAAACATCTCCAGCAAGGAAACAGACCATTAACAGTCATGTGTGGTTTGGGTATAAATATGTCTGAAGCTCAAAGCTTAACCAAATGATCTTTTGAGGTCCTTTTAGCATTATTTCTATGACTCCTACCATGCTAGAGATTCAGGCTTATTTCAAGGTTATGGCTGACACTGTGACCTTACTGACAAAGGCATGAAAAAATTGTAATTCTGTATTCCCTAAAGTTAACATCATTTTGCCTGTTGTCAGTTCCTATACCTGTAATGATTCGGCACTAAGCTGACAACTTTAAAATGTTGGTTCTTCTTAAAAAACGTGGTTCACTAGTCCTCATCCCTGAGAGAGATTTTAATTCACTAAATGTTTGATGGGAGCAGGAATCTGCACTTGTACTAAAAACCCCAGGAGATTCTAAATGAAGTGATTCCTGTGCACTACTATAAGGAGCCAATATTGCACACAGCTGATGCAGCAGAGGGGAGAAAGAGGCATCATCTCTCATCTTGCAGATGCTCAATATATAAAGAAGACAAGTCATTACGAGGTTAGAATAGGTACTCTGGAAAAGGAGTTCCTTTGGGTATATTTTTCTGCTGCATGTCATTACTGAGTTATCAAAGACCATATACATTGTATTTTATTGTTGCTTTTGCTTAAATTATATTGTGAAGTTAAGCTCTATTTATTGATAACAAAATAAATCAAGAAAAATGGTATAAATAAGTATCAGCATGAAACTTTTATAGTCTCTTTTGAGGGGCTTGCCATCCTTAGTTTCACAAACAACACACAATTTCCTTCAATGACTTCACTATTTTAAAATACCATTTTACCATTTCTCAAGAGATAAAACTTGTCCACTGTTTCTTTTGGAGATATGTTAACAACTTAATCCTATCCTATAGAAATACATGATTCAGTCAATAATATTTATTGATCACTTAGTAATAGACATATATAAGTAAACAAAATAGACAAAACCACTGCTCCCATAAAGCTTACAGACTACTAGGGAAAGTAATCATTAAATGTAAAATGTGAAGTATGAACAATATTATAAATACAAGTAGACGGTGCTATGAGAGGATACAGTGGAGAAACCCAACTATTCAACGCAGGAACTCATGAGATCATGTTTTCCTGAAGAAATACGTTAAACCTGAGACTTGAAGAATTAGAAGGAATTTGCTAGGGAAGAGAAGGTAAAGAGAAAAGCATGTGAAAAAAGACATACACATTCAAAGACCAGAAAGGAGGTCTGTGTGGCTAAAGCATGAAACCATCAAGACAGAGAAGCAAAAGAGAAAAGAGTCAATTTTAAGGCTCAGTTAAGGATTACAGACTTTACTTCAGATTCAGTGTGAAACCATTAAAGGGTTTTAAGCAGAAACAAAATAGATCTGATTTGTTGTTTTAGAAGATTACTTCTAGCTTCAACACACTGGTAGAATGGTAAAAGGGCAGAAACAGATGCTAGGAGATCAGGTGAAAGGCTCCTGAAGTGATCCAGGTGGACGATATTGGTGGACCCAAGTATGATAGTGGCAATGGGATGGAGAAAAGCAGGTGGATTCACACAATATTTAGGAGATAGAATTGGCAGGAATTTTTGGATAGATTGGGTGTGAGGTAAATAAAGAGTCAAGAATACTCAGGCTTGAGTGTTGCTCACTAGCCTGAGCAACTGTGTACCATTTCCTGAGATAGGTGAAGACAGAATAGGAAAAGGTGGTGACAAAGGGATAATGGATTTAGACAAATGACTTTCTAATGTCAATTCAGGAATATGAGAAATGTAGTTAATTGGTAAGTAGCCCTATGAGAATCAAGCAAAAGAATATCCACGTCTCTTATTCAGTTCATGTCAATCATTATCATCTCTAAAGTACCATTTAAGATGAAGCTCTTGATGTAGCATCCAATAAATGCAAGATCTCACAGCAATTTCCTGCCCAAGCTTTGACTTCCACAGAATTCTGAGCTTTAAATACCAACAATTTTCTAAGCTAAACCATACATTAAGTCAAGTAGTTTAAGGAGCATGTCTGTAATGATATTTGATCCGCTTTTTTATTCCATCTATGATAAACTCTTTCAGAGATGCCAAGATTGAATTAATTGACCACTGTATATTCATCATTAATATATCTTAAAAGGAAACAATATTGGAGGTATTGGAGGTATACAATTGGGAGGTATATAACAATATTGGAGGTATACAATTGGGAAACAGCTTCTTAAGACCTCAATCCTCTTTATTAGAAGCATAGTTGACATCTAGTAACCCCTTATTACACATCATTCATTTTTCTCAATGAACAATTGAGACACTGGTTTTAATGATAATGCATGTGAAAAGAATACCCTTGATTTATTTCAACCTAATTGATGAAGAGTGTGTGCAGCAACATACCATTAAAAATGATACTTAAATTACCCCAAATTGGAAACAACCCAGTTGTTCATCAACAGTAGAAGAAAGAAGTTGTGGAATATTTAAGCAATTGACTACTCTATGGCAATGAGAATAAACTTAGTATGACTGCAGACAATAAAATGGATGAATCTCACAAACATAATGCTCAGTGAAAGAAGAGAGATAAAAACCACCACCTATAGTGTAATTCCATGTACCTAAAGTAAAAAAACAGGCAAAACTAATCTATGCTGCTAGAATGCAGGCTAGTGGTTACCTATGAGAGGGCAGTGACTGGAAGTGGGGACACAGGATGAAAGGGTTCTGGGTGCTTGTAATGCTCTGTGCTGGCTGGTACATAGGTGTGTTCACTTTGTGAATATGTATCAGGCCTTATATTTATGATGTGTGCACTTTTCTGTATTACTTTAATATAGTTCAATAAAAATTTAATAAAAGATAACATTGAGATCTTATTTAGAGCACTCTAATGAATAAAAATACCAAAAGTTCCCTATGTTTAATCTCTGACTTAAAATTTATAATAGATACATAATTAAAAGCATTCACAAAAGCACAGATTAAAAAAATTTAGAAACACAAAATGCTGATAACAAGAAGTTGTTAAAAATACTTTTCATAAAAGGTTATTGTGGCATTTAAAAGACTCTAAGTGAAGGATAAGACCACAGAAAGACTTCAGCCCTATGGAATACTGAATGACACTTCCCATAGCGATCATAGATAAATTACTAAATTCTTCAGTTTCAGTGAAACCATATCTAAGAGCAGGATAATTCCTACATTCCTCATAGGGTGTTGTGCTGCTTAATTAATGTTTGTAAAGCACTTTCTGTTCCCTGGGTGAAAGGTACCACTAAAGAGCAAAGTATAATTATGTTTTAATTGCAGGTCTAATTTTGAAGACGCCAAGAAAATGTGCCTATGAATAGTAATTTAATCTGATCACTCCATTAGAACTACAGCCACGATTTCTGTCTTCTGCCTGAAAGTATCACCTGCTATACTTGAAAAATGGCTTTTTGTTCATTTGCTTTTTAAGTCTTTCTTTCTTGGCTTCTCTATCTGTAAAATGGGGTAACATGCTTTCTGTTATCTACAAGTATTTCTTCATTCTTTGCAAAACGCTTCAGGGATCCTTAGATGAAAAGAAGGCACGTACTGGTACAAGAAGAAATGACGCCTCCAGCCACCTGGGGAGAATGGAATTGCTTTTCTCTGCAGGAAAATAAAGTGCCAGCTGTCCTGCATAAAGGCCGCTGAAGGGATGGTCCCTATAGAAGTCAAGGCTTAGAACAGCCAAGCTCCTGGAATAAGGACTTTTGGAAGACAGTTTGTTGGCACTCGGGCGTTATATTTTATTTTCTCAAAGAGACAGTTGATTCTACTCTCTTTTGTTGAGGCCACCTTTATTTCTGCTCTTAATCCAGACAGTTTACACTTACACAAAACCAGTCATCAGAAATCCACCAGTAAGTACAATTCAGAGTATGACCCTTTATGTATTATGAGATGACCAGCCAAATGAGCTGGGATCTTGCTTTTCTAAGCCATGAGCCTGGGTCTTTCATGGATCCTGACTTGGAGAGAGCAAATAATTATGCCACTATGGATTCCATATTTTAGAAGAGAAGGCATTTGTAAGGAAGAATCCTTACAATATCCAACAATATTTTTCGTTTCTCCTATTTAACAGGCTAAGTAAAACATAAAGAGACCTGCATAAAGGTTTTGCATTCCTTGATGAAAATTTTTAAAAACTTCAAATCATACATTAACTAACAATATAGAGCTTTTTAGAAAAGCTTTATATTTATTTCCCCCAACACGTGGACTTTAGTAATATGTTTTTTGTTGTTGTTGTTGTGTGTGGTTTTTTGTTGTTGTTGTTGTTTGTTTTTTTTGAGACAGTCTTACTGTGTCATGCAGGAGTGCAGTGGTATGATCTTGGCTCACTGCAACCTCTGCCTCCCGGGTTCAAGTGATTCTTGTGTCTCAGCCCCTCTAGTAGCTAGAATTACAGGCATGCACCACCACACCCGGCTAACTTTTGCATTTCTAGTACAGATGGAGTTTCTCCATGTTGGCCAGACTAGTTTCAAACTTCTGGCCTCAAGTGACCCGCTCACCTAGGCTTTCCACAGTGCTGGGATTATAGGCATGAGCCACCACACCCAGCCTGTCTTCTATTTAATTAATATATAGAAATATTTCTTATCATCCCTCTTTGATAAAAGTAAATAAATGTCCAGTCAGACCAGTCACCTCCCAGCTGCAGGTCACATTTTGGGGGAATACAAACCTGGAAATATCTGCATAAAATTTTTTAATAAATAACCTCCCTTTCTCCACAAAGACAAATCATATGGAGGTACTTTAAAAATAAAAAGCAGTGTATATCTTGTTAATAATAGATGTGACTTTTCAGTAGCTAAAACTCCCCTGAAAGACTAAAATGTCTGTTTGAATACCTTTGAGCAACCATTAAAATCTTTCAGGGAAGAATACTGATGCATTCCCTTAGGAAAATACAAACCAGTCAAGTGTGCTGAGTTCGTGATGTATATAGAATATATATTAAAAAAGAGATGTATTATGTCATATATATATATCACACACACACACACACACACACACACACACACACACACACACATTCTCTCTCTCTCTCTCTCTCTCTTCTGTTGGCTCTGTTCTCTGGAGAACCCTAATACAGCTAACATAAACAGTCAAGTCAACATGAGCCCAATTCAAGGTAGACTGATTCAAATTCCTTCTGTAGGACCAATAAATTAAGAGAGATTCTAGAAGTTTATATTGTAGTCCTCAGAGCCATCTACCAAACATTTCCAACTATGACATCTGGGCATGATTTAATTATAAGAAGTATAATCTTTGTAGTTAGGCATGGTCATGTGACTTGCTTTGTCCAACAAAATGTGAGCAGAAATAATGTATGTTATTTCCGAGAACAAGTTTGAAAAGCCAATGAGCAGTGTGCCATGGCTGTCTTTCCCCATACTACAGCTACTGGCAATGTTCCAGGTGGCATCTGCTTTGTCAGCAGAAGTGCTGGAGTGATAATGCCATGAAGCAGAGCTCCTGGCTCACGTACAATGGACATGCACATAGTGTAAGGAAGAAATAAAACCCACTGCCTTAAGACACCGAGATTTGGGGTCTGTTATGGAAACCATCGCATAACCAAGCCTCTCTGACTGATACAGGTTTTTACCAGGGTAAAGACCTCCTTAGAACTTCTGGGAGGATGACAGAGGGTGCATGTTATTCCTATAATTTCACCCTCCCCTCAGTCTCACACAGCCTGGTCCTGGGCTGTGAAATCCATTTCCTTTGTACTCTGTGACACCTGGAGAGACTCTCAGCACTACTCTCCCAAGTCCCCAGCAAAGTCACCACTTCAAAGGACTACCAGCCCAGGCAGGTGACCTAAATGAATAAGTAGACCATTGCTTGCATATCAAACATTTCTTAACTTCTCCTCTCTTCCTCAAGAAAATACTTTTCTTGAAACACTAGGTCCTTGTGACCTGGCATTCTCTTCTATTCAAAGGAACAGTACAGGTGTGATGATGAATTGTAACCACAACTCTATACCAGTGTTGGGGAAATAACAGGGACCAAGGGCAGCTACAACCCCCTTCTGGTATCTGGTGTCCATACTGGAATGAATACCAAATGTTTTCACATTTTTTAGAAGCCAAAATTCTAGATTTTTATACTAAGTCTCCCAGTTTTCTTAAAACACTATCCATGCCAAAGAAAACACAAGTAGGCTGAATTCATTGCTCAGGCCCACTGTCTGCATTCCACAGGCATCTGCTGGTGAACCTTGTTTTATGCCTTTGTGGGGACAATGACTGTCATCCACTTTCAAGAAGCTCTAGATGGTCGAGCCAAAATCCAGGCCAGAACAAAGCTCAAAGCTGAGGAAAAAATGTCAATGCCCCTCTTCTTTTGGAAGAAATGTCCTTACGTTGCTAGCAAAAATTATGCTGCCCAAGACCAAGTCCAAGTCAATACCCTGATTTGACCTGTCTATTAGTCTCACTGGTTCACCAGCTCTTGAACTCACTCTGTCTCTCTTTTTTCAGATTATTAAAGTAATTTATACCCACAACTGAAAATACAGAAAAGTGTTAATAAGAGAACAAAGGGCACTCATATAAGTCCATGACCCAAAGACAATTAATGTTGCCATATTATCATAATCCTTCTAGTAATAAATAACACTTGAAATATATTTATGTTTAGAACTCTGAATTTTTACCAGTTCTGTATTCTGATATTTTTATTACTGTTGACAAAAAGGGTCAAACTCTGTAAAATATTTGAAGAGATTTATTCTAAGCCAAATATGAATGACCAATGGCCTATGACACAGCCCTCAGGAGATCCTGAGAACATGTGCCCAAGGTGATTTGGGCATAGCCTAGTTTTATACATTTTAGGGAGACATGAGACATCAATCAAATACAAGTTAAGATTTACATTGGTTTGATCTGGAAGGGCAGGACAACTCAAAGGAGCAGAGCTCTGGTTCATAGGTAGGTTTAAACATTTTCTAATTGGCAATTGGTTGAAAGAGTTATTATCAATAGAAAGGACTGTCTGGGTTACAATAAAGGGTTGTGGAGACCTAGGTTTTATCATGCAGATGAAGCTTCCACGTAGCAAACTTCAGAGAGAATAGCTTGTAAATGTTTCTTATCAGACTCAATATCTGTGTTGATGTTAATGCTGGTTGGATTTTCCTGAGTTCCAAAAGGGAGAAAGGTATAATGAAGAATGTTCACCCCTCCTTATATTAAGGCCTGAACAAGTTTTTCAGGTTAATTTTGGAATGCCCTTGGCTGAGAGGAGGGGTCCATTCAAATGGTTGGAGGGGCCTTAAAATTTTATTTGTGGTTTATATTACCATCTTTTTTTCACTTCTTCATGGACCGGTCGAGTTTTAGATTTGACTTTTTTTTCAGTTTCCATTAAGAGAAATCTGTTCTTAGAATGTTTCTTCTCAAAGTGCTTTACTAAATCTTGTAGTAATCCTATAGCAGAGCTTATTCCAAAAGAGATATTAGGAAGTGATCTATCATTTGTAGATAGATAATTTAATAATTTTTTTATTAAATTTTTTCTTTAAAGGGTAATTCATATTAATTACAATTCGATAAATACTAAAACATAGAGAAAAGAAAAAGGTATCCATAATCTCACAACCAAAAGATAAGTAGTATTTATTTTGGCATACTTTCTTTCTGTCTCTTTTCTTCTATATGTAAGGTTTAAGTGCGTGTGTGCTATATGTGTATATAGTTAAATCACATATTTTTGTAACAAGCTTTTTCACCTATTACATAAATATTAGTTTAGGAACACACTCACACCACTCATACTTCACTTAAGAGGGAAGTTCTTCCTGACAGGGGAGAAGGTAGGAGAAACACTTCCAGCATCACTCTATCTCTGAGACAGAAAGGGTAATGTATATGATCGTGGAGATTGCGAATCTGCCATCCATTGTTCCACTGGTCCACATATCCATTCGGGTGAAATTTACAGTTTAAAAACCTCATCACACAGTGGCCTTTCTCTGGGATCTGTTTGCCTGCATAAGCATGTATGCTGGCTCCTCCATGAAGAAAGACTGCTGGAAGAGGATGGCCTATAATTCTGGGTGGAAAAGTTTAATTTAGGAAGGGAATTAATAGGAAGCTTGATTGTAGACATACATCAAGCTGCTTCCTCTAATCTAGCTTAACCAGTAACGTAGCTGACATTTCCATGTTATTACACATCATTATAAATAACTTTTTCAATGGCTGGATAAGACCAAGGAGATGGTTTATTTAACCATTTCTCTATTGACATCACACGGATAATAGTATTCATCCTTAAGCCTCTTTGACACTTCATGACCAAAAATAATTCTGTATAATATCTGTTGATTGGGTTGATTTTTTTTAATGGCAGCTCTTATTCTCCAAAGACAGCCACAACAATAACTCCCATCCTACACTTTTTATATAACATGTATGAGTACAACTTCCTCAACAAGTAAAGGAATCTAATTCTTTTCTTCTTGGATTTGGGCAGTCCTGTGAAACCTTGGTCAGTACAATATGCTGTAATAGCTTATGCAATAGGTTATTATGCTGTGTTATGTCTGAGGCTGGGTTATAAAATGTGATACAGCTCCTGCCCTGTTCATTGAAATAGTCATGGTTGGAGCCTTAAGCCAGCAGCAAAGAAGTCTAATGACCCTGCAGCTGTGAGGACTGTCGCATAGAAAACCTGCACATAGGTGCTCCAGCTGGTATTGCTGAGGCAGCCTTCACCAGGTGCAAGGTATGTGAGTGAAAAAATTTCAGCCATCAACTCATTCCAAGCTTTCAAATCTTTTCAGCCATGGCTCTGGATATGTGCGGCAAATATAAACCATCTTGAATGTGCCTCACTGGAATTTCTGACCCACAGAACCAGTGAATAAGAAAATAGTTACTGCTTTGAGTGACTACATTTTGAGATCATTTATTATGAAAATTATTAACTGAAACAGCACCAGCTTTATGTATTTGCATCTCACTTTCATTTCCATAAATATTTACTGAGTATCTGCTCTCCACCAGGCAATGAGCTAGGCTCCTAAGGTTTATAGGTAAATCAAACACAATCCTTTCCCTTAAAATGCCCACAGTAGTGGAAGAGACACGATGAGCTGTCCTTTAGAAAGATAAATTCAGCAGCACTGATGTGAGGAGATTGGAGATCTCCCTCTGCTGGATGTCAGCTGGGTAGAGGATGGCGGTAAACAGATGGAATCCCTAGCTTGATATATATGTGGACTGCTTGCTCTCTGTTCCACAGCCACAGCATCACAATTTTTTGCTCATAAATGGGACGAAGATACGTGTGGTTCTTAAAATGTGAGATGTTCTCATAAAGAGATATCATTTAAATTAAATTCAAATATAAAAATAAAACACATATTCTACAAATTATTTATTGTTATGAGCTAAATTCTGTTACCCATGCCAAATTCGTATGTCTAAGTCCTAACCCCTAGTACTTCAGAATGTGGCTGTATTTGGAGATAGAACCTTTAAAGAGGTAATTAAGGTACAATACAGTCATATGCGTGTGTCCTAATCCAATCTGATTGGTGTCCTTGTGAAAAGAGCTGAGTCAAAAGAGATGCATAGGGGAAAGACCACGTGAAGACACGTGGAGAAGATGGCCATTTACAAGCCAAGGAGCGAAGCCTCAGAAGAAACCAGCCCTGCCCACACACTGATCTCAGATCACCAGCCTCCAAAACTGCGAGAAAATAAATTTCTATGTTTACACCCCAGTCTGTGGTATTTGTTTTGGCAGCCCTAAAAAACTAATATAGTCATAATAGGAATACTTTCATGCTCCATAGCTGAACACCACAAGAACGGGAGCAGTGGTAGAGGTGATGGTGGGGATAAGGCTGCGGGAAAACCTGCCCACACTCTTCCCTGCTGTTACCATCTTTCCATAGGAAAGGTAAGGCAAGCAGTTATTGATAAAGAGGCCAAGTTAACTTTTATGTATACAGTATAATTGACCTCTCTGTCTTTAATTTACAATATAGGAACTTCAACTTGTACCTGAATCATTTATATAAACATTACTTTATATAGGAACTTTAGCCCTGATACAATTAGCCAGGAGTGTTAGAAAAAGGAACATTTCCCACAGCATTTGAAGAAGCTGCATGTCAAATAATGAATTACACAAAATGTAACTTCTCTGAACGATTCTAAAGGATAACTTGAATAAAGACATAACTTTAAATAACAGGGAAAAGAATACCAAAGCATATCACTAGTACTTTGTAAATGCTGAATGTTTGTTAAATTAATCAAGAATAAATGAATAATGGTTATATGAATGAATGATGTTTATATCAGGGGGCCGCAAATATTTTTTGTGAAAGATCAGAGAATAAATAGTTAAGGCTTTGCAGGCCATATGGACAGTGTTTCTGTCACAACTACTCAACTCTCCCATGTAGTCCAAAAGCAGCCATAGACAAAACGTACGTGAATAGGCCACACTGAGCTCTGATAAAACTTTATGGCAGTTCGGATTTGGGCCACCTGCCATAGTTTGCCAACCGCTGGTTTAAAATATTCACTCCCTTAATCAAAATCCTTTCCTAGCACCCTAATGCCTACAAATTTCAGGACAAGCCATACATTTGGAATCCAGCATCCTCCATGGCCCGAGCCCTCCCCACCTCCCCTCTTATTTCTCATGACTACATAGGTACTCTCCACTCTGAATAAACTGGACTCTTACAGCTATGCTCCAGGATTTCCCATTTCTTCACCTTTGCTCATGCAGTTCCTCTATCTACTAAAATCTTGTTTATCCTTCAATGCCATTCTCAAATTCTACATTGTCCAATAAGCTTTTTATAATTTTTTCTGTCAGATGGTAGCTTTCTCTTCTCTGAACCCCACGCTGGCATTTTCTCACTTGCTAATTGCACTTATTAAACTCAGCCTCACAGTAGAGTCATGTGAGTGATTTCTTAGAACCTATAAAACCCCAAGCTTCTTCACAACAGAGGCTGTGTTCTCTTCAGCTTGGTATGTCCTGCCATACCATGAACATCCTACGAGTTCAATAAACACTTGATGAATACACTGAATGACACCATTTTGAATTTCCTGCCCCAACAGGGCAGAAAAAGAGCATGGATTGGTCTCTGCTCTCAATGGATCCCGAGACTTGCTATCTCTAGAATATTAGTACAGGCTGCTTCTCTGTAGGTCATTAATCTGGCAGGAATTGAAATAACCTTATTTGCTATAGAACTTTAAAAATGCATTAGGGAACTAGAATTCTTGGAGCCAGCTGTCCTTTTAATTAACTTTGGGCTGGGAGAAGAAACTAACGACCTCCTCAATTGCTAAGCATCTAAAGAGGTTAATAGAAATTGAGATTCTACCTGTTGTATTCCTAAGGACTTGATTACAGATTGTTTCTTTATGACTACAAGTGAGGAGTTCTGTACTACTCAGACACTTCCGGAGTGCCTGCCTGCAATGCAGAAAGCACTAAGAGAAATGAAAAGATAAATAAGACATGAGCAGCCCTGATACCCTGGAGTTAACAGTCTAGTCAGGGAGACAGACACAGACCCAAGGCCTAAAATACAAAGCAGGCTGTGGTAAGGGTTACCACAGGACACACCATGAGACAATATCACAAAGAGATTAACTTTGATGGACGCAGGATAGTCTGACCACAGAGGTCTCTTGCAGTGGATAGGATTTGAGCAGGAACCTGATAGGAAAACAGTAATAAAATGTGGATATTGTGATATCTTGGTGTGTCGGAGTAGACAATGACCTCAGACAACTCTCTCATTTATCAGATAAGGAAGGTGAGACCAGGGAGGAACTGCAACCTGCTTAGTAGCAGGCAACTCACTTCTTCTTTATACCAGCTATGAGCAACTTCAAATTCACATAAGAGGCAGAAAAAGAATGTTAGACTAGAATATCTTCATTCCTGGGCATTTGTGACAAATATCAGATGCAGTCATTAGCAGTCTGACCACACAGCAGGCCCAAGGCCAATGCGGCCCCTGTTGGAAGCCACTGCCTTTGGTAGTTATCAAGGGACCAGATTTAGCTGCTAGCAAAATTGCACCTGCATCCTGTAACTGAAGGCTACAGAACCCAGGCAATGGAACAAAAGATTGCAGTGAATTGGGGATAGATCAGAGTGAGCTTTAAACTCTGGGTAGGGAATCTTACGGAACAGTCCAACTTTGGTTCAAAAGCGCAGGTCTCAAAAGCAACCAAAGGAGTTGTGATTTCGCCTTAGAATTACAGGGTACAATATATTACAGGGGAAGGCATGGGTTTGCCCTCTCACAAGGCACGTGCTTCCCTGATGGAGTCTGGGAGGATACACACAGGTGTCTCAAGCCTCACCCCATCCCTCGCCACCAAGCACTCACTGGCTACACCTAAAGTATACTACTACCATCAAGGACAATGTGATCCTCAGGAGTGGGCTGATGCCAATACAGAGAGTAAACTTTCCAGGGTGAGACAAAGTAGCCAAGACCCCCAAAAATGCCGGGTGACAATGTAATTTAAATAGATTATTCAGTTCCCTTCACTCTCATCACTTATGGGGAGAATGTAGCTGAATAATTAAACAACTATTCTTTATTTACTAATTTTAGATTCATTGGAGCAACTGTGTCTTTTTTTCCCCTTAAAAGAAATATGGACTTGATTAGTATCTTTTTTGCTTCTACCTGGTTCTTTCTGCACTGTATTATTTCAACTCTACTGCCCAACCTAACCACCCCATTCCCACCATGGAAATATTTGGTGCCCATATTAACCTATTGAATAAAAGACATCACTTTTCCATAAAATAATAAAAAAAAAACTTCTTTTGCCTCCAGATAGCAGATGTAATAAAACAGTGAGCTTAAACTCTGGAGCTTTATTTCTTTTGAAAAAAGTTACACTTATTTTCCTCACATGAAACTCCTAAATTAAAAGAGTTGTGAAGGGAATATTACACAAATCATCTATTCAAGTTTATTTATTTTCCAACGATGGGGAAAAGTGTGTTTCTGAGTGGCTAGCAAACTATCTTTTGCTAATATTATCAATTTAATATAGTTACACCAATTTATTAGGCACACTGAAGGTATAGGAGTTACTACTTTTCCCTAGCAAATGTTAAATAGAATGTAACAATAGAATGCTGGAACTGGGTGGAAGGGCACAGATTATAAGCAGCCTGTAGCCCAACTGTTAATTCATAGATGGGAAAACAGGTATAGAGAAACCAAAGGATTTGCCCAAAGTCAGACAACCAGGACAAAGCCTCACAGCAGATTGGGAAAATCCCGGTGAAAATCCTAAGTTCAGGCGTCTTCACTACATCCTGTCTCTGTCTCTTTAACAGTAGATCTGATACAAACACACAAACACACACACACACACACACACACACACACAGACATGACTTGGTCAAAGCTTGCATTTCTACAATAGCAGTAATAGGTTTGAAAGGTACCTTCAGAAATGGTGCTAGTCAGGCTAAGATGGAGCAGTACAAATTGTCATAATAGTGATATCTACTTTTCTGCAAGGTGATTGAAAACTTTACACTTCCTCATAACGGAAATCTTCATTACTAAAGAACTCTAGTCCCTACGTGTCCCATGGCACAGCTTGAAAAAAACACCGTCACCAAACAAGGCAGAAAACTAGATCCAGTGGTTTGGCACTGCTGTTCTTACAGCAGAGAAACACACTGATCAACACTGGAAACGTCACTTTGGTAAAAGCCACTCATCAGGTGTGTAGTCTCCCTATCTCTTATTTGATAGCTCACCTCATCAAATTAACTTGATAATTATACACAAGCCAGAAAACTCCTGCTATGTAACTACGCTCTAGCTCTGTGTTCCTCCAGCACTGCGAACGCTTTCAGAGAATTGTCTGGCTGTCTGAGAATTCAAGGAGCCATGTCTGTGTCAACTAAACTGCCATCCAGCCTCAAAACCGAATCTCCCCTTGTTTATCATCAACAATGTCCATTTAATTACTAAGACCTCCATGTTTTCTTGTTTTGTTTTGTTTTTTAGAGATGGGGTCTCACTCTGTCTCCCAGACTGGAGTGCAATGGCATGATCATAGCTCACTGCAGCCTCGAATTCCTGGGCTCAAGTGATTCTCCTGCCTTAGCCTCTTGAGTAGCTAGGACTACAGGCATGCACCACCATGCTCAGCTAAATTTTTAAAGATTATTCTATACAGATGGGGTTCTGTCATCTTGCCCAGGCTGGTCTTCAATTCCTAGGTCAAGCAATCCTCCTGCCTCAGCCTCCCAACTTGCTGGGATTATTGATATGTCCTTCATTTGGACCTTTTCCTCTCCATTTTACATCGTCCTCTTATCCAACATTTAAATTCACACATTGGCTATTACAACACAATTTAGTCAGCCTCTCCAAACTTCTCCCCATCCCAGTTTAACCTCCATCCTAAGCCAAACATCATTTTTAATGTATTACACTCCTGCTCACAACTTAAAAAAATCAATTCATCTAATTTAGTTCCAAAGGCTCTACCCTACCTCTGAAATCTTATTCCTTGCAAATTACTTTGTAGAATCTTCAGATCCAAGCAGGCAAATCTCCTCACCGAATCGTGAACTTGTGATGTCTATCACTGTTTATGTTCGGACTCATGGGGTTCTGCTTAAGTTATTTATTTAACATTTAGGAGCCTCAATTTCCTTAGCTGTAAAATGAAGACTCTGGTCCTAAATGGGGCTTTGGTGGGGCTCAAGGAAGAATAATTCATTTGCAAGTTCTTTCTAAATTGTTAGACTCTATAGAAGTTCAGCTATTTATTAACCTTGGTCTTGCATTCACCCCAATCACTACCCACTGAAACCACGCTACTATTGATGAACACGTATCTCCACCAAACTTGACTGCGATGTATTTGAAAACAGATCTTCATTTCATCACTAATCACCTCAAGTCTTTTTTTTCTAAACAGAAATATTTGGTGGGACGAGATTTAGCTAGCTTCCTCTGTCTTTTTCAAGGCCCTATATGAAGTAGACAACAAATATATATTTGTCAGTTTCTTTAGTTGAGCAATGAGAATGAATAAGGATGAGCAGCAGAAGCTCATATCACCAGTCTCATTTCTCTATTAAGGAACAACAACAATAAAAATATATGATGACTAGTGAGAAAATATCTGTGAAGTGCTAGAAATACTTTGAGGAGCATTTGCTACAAATAGCACTTCCTCCTCTGGGGACGTTGAAATTATGATTTCCAAATAGTGATTTGAAATCCAAGTCTTGCATTTTGAGGTTTATAAGCTCAAGAAAGGCAGATGGCTATACAAAGGCAACCAAATGTCATGAAAGACAGGAACTCTCAATAAGCAGAATGTTCTGATTTAAAGGTAGTTGAGACTCGTGAAGTTTTTGTTGTGCCTTTCCATCTGTTTCCCATCTTCCGCCTTAACCTAGATGAGTATGCACATATCTGTGTGTTCATGTGTGTGTATCTGTATGTGTTTGCGTTTTAACTGAAAAAGAGAGTAAGCTTCATGTAACATTCTCTAACAGTCCTTTGCTCATAAAACTAAAATGCATAGTTAGCAAATTTTAGTGAGCTCCTCCCTCTCCAGACCACCCAACCTACTCTTTAATTAAATCTTTCCTTTCCTTTCTCCCTGGGGCCGCCAACTGCCATATCTCTTATAAGATGTCTGTCATTCCTCCTACATAAAGATGACACAGCACATATTATTTATAACTGTCCATTTTTGAAACACAATTCTGCACCTTGTAGAGGGGAATAATACTCAGGGTAGCCTAGAGTTACAGAGCTATCAGAACACTTAAAGTCATCCATAACAGACTTTAGTACAGTTAAAACCTTTCCAGACAGATGAATAGTCTCTGTCAATCTTGATTTCCTGAAGATGTGAGGAAACAATTTGTAAAAATTCTATAACTGCCTTTCACCTAGCAAATTAGTAAGGACTTATTTTTTGTTAATCTTCACTGTTGGAAATGGTGTAACAAAATGGTCACTTTCATATATAACAGGAAAGAGTGTAAATTTGAAAAACTCTTGGCAAAATGTTTGAAGAGCCTCCAATTATTATTATACTTTGATTCAGTAATTCTACATCTAGAAATGGCTTAAGGATATAGGACTGAAATATAAGGAAAATGTTTTTTTTCTTTTTTTCACACTTTGTCCAAAAGGAAGAGGAAAGATGCTTAATACTGCAAGTATTTATTAATTACAACAATCATAATAGTTAAAAATTAAAAAAACTTATATAAATTCAATATAGGATTGAGTATGTAAATTATGCCATTATAAGTAACAAATAAAAATTGTACCCGCATCTCATCATAGGAAAGAGAAGAAGAGTCAGTATGCAAAACAGATTTACTGTCCTAGCTGATGAAGCAAGTACACACCTGAAATCCCAAAGGAAGTTTGTGATATAAATGATCTAATGATATAAAGATCTAGTGGGATAAGATTTATCCCACCTCATCTTTTTCAAGCTCTAACGCAAAGTAGACCATGAATACTAGTTTGTTGATTGCTTTAGGTGGTCAGCGAAAATGAATAAGGTAGAGAAGCAGAATCTCACGAGAGAGACTTTACTATTAAGAAAAAAAATACATGACGATGAGAGAGTGACAAAGCACACACATCAAGTGGTGGGATTCAAGATGTGTGCTCACAGTCTATTCACTTCACCCCCAAATTCAGTTCCCACAAGGACTTAACTCTAGACCCCAGGGGCACCATACTGGCTTCAGTGTGAAAAAATATTACATCCATCAAAACACAGGGAAGGATAACCTTCTGTTAAGATATTTTTATGTTTTCTTATATTAACGGATTACCCTTCTCTTTCCCACTATTAATTGACATTACAGCAGGCTCCTTTCTTTTTAGTTTAGTATGGGGTTCCCAAATTATAGGAATGGGGACTTATAGAAGAGGGGAATAAAGTCATCCCACTACAGGTTATTATGTGTTCATTAAACTAAGAAGGAAAAATCAAGATAAAATTATAAATGGGAACATGGATGAGTTTTTATCATTTTTTTGATTTCAACTTTTCAATTTTTTCCCAAATTTTTTATAAGGAGCCAGCACTACTTTACAATTTTTAAAATTTAAAAGAAAATACATTTTTAATTAATTTAATTCTTAGCAGCAAAAATTTAAGCCAATCTGCTTTTCTTGTTCAACAAACTGTTAAATATTACCTTTCTGCAGGTGCTGTGCTGGATAAAAGGATGAGGGATATCGAATGTTCCCAACATCCCATAAAAGTGATAAATGTTTGAGGTAATAGATATGTTAATTACCCTGATTTGATCATGTGTACATTGTATATATTAAGTAGCATTATATTAAAATATCACTGTGTACTCCATAAATATGTACAATTACTATGTGCCAATTAAAAATATTTTTAAATATGAAAAAAATGGACCATGTTCACAAGGAAGTCACAGATATTTGGAGGAAAAAGAAGTGCTATGCTTTCAAGTGATGATAATATGCAATATGCTTTGAAACCTAAGAATGTACAGAATGCAACAGGAGCAGGAGAGAAGGAAGTGTTAGCTCTGCCTGGAGCAAGAATGTGAATAACAGGAGACGTCCCCGAAAAAGGAACACTCAAGCTGAGCTTAGGAGAAAGTTTCATTTCACTATTAGGGGGCAAAAGAGGGAAGAAAATTCCAAGCAGAGAGAATAGAATAAAGTAACAGTATCAGGCTAGAACCCACAAAGCTACTACAATAATCTAGAAAAAGATGAGGTTGTGATCAACAGCAGCAAAAGAAAGAATGACAGGCAGGGAGGACTCGAATGACAAGCAGTAAAATCATAGGACTTAGGGATTGATTGGTTGTGGGAGGCAAAGGATAAGGACTGAAAAGTAACCCCAAGTTTTGTAGTGTAGGCAAGATTAACTAAACACCCCTGTATTTAGTGAAGGGGATAGTGAGGTCACTAGATAAATCCAGTAAATAAGAGAAAGGATAGATTTGGGAAAGAGAGGACATAAAAAAAGGAATGTGTTCAGGGTACGTGGAGTTTGATCTGCCTCCACAACTAGCACTCCATTTCGGATACAGAAAAAGAAACATGATGCTGAAATCCAGGACGAAGATCAAGGGTTAGAGGTTGACATTTGGGAATACAGGTTATTGTCAAAATAGTGGTAAAGGTAGAAGAACAGAAACAGCATCCTAACGATCCTCCCTAGTTCCAGATCAACCTTTCCCACTCCCACCCTTCTCAGCTTTCCATGTTGTAGCCCTACTGATCTTTCAAACTGGAAATTTTACTATTTAATGCCCCCACTTAGAACCTTTTGATGTACCCAACCTCGCTGGCAGTCAGAGATATGTCAATTGAAAGGACAATGAGATTCTATTTTTTGCCTGCTGGACTGGAAAAAAATTAAAGATTAAAAATATCCACTGCTGGTAAGCACATGGGGAAATGAGCACTCATATATTTCTGGTATGAGTGCAAATTGCTATGATATTTTGGGATATCTATTACCATTTTAAAAGCTCATGACTTTTGATCCAGCAATCCCACTTTAAAGAATTTATCACTTAGAAACAGAGCAACATAAAAAAGGATATATGTACAATAGTCTATTGCTATATTATTTGTAAGAGTAAAAGCTTAGAAACAATTGAATGCCTACTAAAAATGTAGTGTTCAAACAACTGGTGATCCCTATTAAGTAGCATTAGGCAGTTGTTAAAAATTAATAATATCTACATATGCTTGGATTTGAATCTAGAAGGATGCCTGTTGATGGATTCAGTGAAAAAAAAAATGAGTTGCCAAGTTCTATATAATGACATAAGAGAAAACAAACAAAAAAAATAGCATCTCATGATAGCTATGTTAGTAAGAGCTAATATGAGAATAGTGCTTACTTTGTAGCAGGTATTATTTTAAGAGCATTATGCACCACCCATTCACTATAACAACTGCATAAGGTGAGTAAAAGAATGTTCCATTTTACAGTCTCATTTTACAGATAAGGAAATTGAGAACAAAATTGGTGAAATAACTTGTGCAAGATCACACAGCTAGCAAGTGGCAAGCAGGATTTATACCCAGCAGTCTGGCATAGAGCTTACACTCTTGGCCTCTGCCATATATGTTACTAGAGAAGAGCAGGGTTGGAGATTGTTAAATTTTTTTAAATCATTGCCTTGTTGGACTTGTTTTAACAGTTCAGTAGAAATATGTGGGGAAAGAGACTCCCAAAACTCCCCATCGCCCTTACAACGAAACTTCCTACTTCCCTACAAGCAGTGTCATAAAAGACCATTTTTCTAAAATACTTGGTAGCTAAAGTCTAGGGTCTAGCCAGCTGGTGATTTAACTGCTTACATGGTTTAGAAACTCATTTTTTACAAGACAATGGCAATCTATGTTCATAAATGGCTGAAAGAGCTTCTGAGGATGCAGCCTTCTACCGGGAGAAGTAGGAAAAGAGGAGCCCAGCTTACCAACTCGGTTAGTGCTTTCAGAGCCTGATGGCGCCTCAGAAAGGAAATCCATTATTAGCAAACACAAAGTGTGCTGCCTTGTCAGGCCTGACAGGGAGCAGACTGGCTGTAACAAAGCCCTGGGCCTTATTTATGTGGCAGCTCACAGCTGCTGAGGATGGGCCCTCCTGTTCCCCAGGAGCCAGCCAGCCCTTCAGGAGGTCATTCTCGGGCCTGCTGAGCTTGAGTCACCTATAACCAAGGATGTAAGGATGAGACCCCAAATAAATACCCAGAATGCTCTTCCTCCAATATTCACAGGACTAGCTGCCTCCCAGCATTCAGGTCAAGGCTCAAATCCCCATTCTCAGAAGATTTCCCCCATGGGAAAGATCAGCCTCTCTCATACTCTACCCCTTCACCCTGCATATTCTTCCTCATAGCATTTACTTCTATCTGACACAGTATATGTTCGCTGGTTTCCCTCATCAACACCTCCCCTCACAGGGCAGCCATGAAGCCTACGTAAATGCACCCTCTTGAGTCATGTAATGGGGCAGCTGGATTCTCTCAGAAGAACACAGGCTTGTTAGGGCAGGGGCCTGTCTTGTTCAAAGGCACAAAATAGGTGTTCAGTGGATATTTGCTGAACAAACATCCTTTTATGATCCCTTCCCTGCTAGGTTCTAGCAGAAGTCTCTTCAGTCTTTTTCTCTTTCCAATCCAGACTTTCTTCGGCTTGGTATTGAGACACATGTGGGCCTATTGTAGTATAAGGAATTTTTCTTTTTACCAATAATTACTAATAACCAATAACTGAAATAATGCTATTTTCAAGCAAGTGCATTCCAGTATGCTTAAATTGCATGGCAAGGGATAGAATTTTTTAATGTTCATGTTATAAGTAGAGTAATACACACATGTGCACACACATAATTTAAGAATACATACATTTATTAAGAGTCTTTACTGAGGTTTCTAGTATTGGTAGGGGAAGACAATTGTGAAAGTTTAAAGACTAGTGGTTTAACAAGAGAGTGTGAGAATAATGCTAACTCCTGTCAAGAAACACTCATTTCTCACATAGGGGGACTCACTTAGCAACCCCGTCCTGGCTACAAAGAGAAGAGAAGGAATGTCCTTTAGTCAATTGCTATTAGAGACAGAAAATTAGAGGCACCAATCATCCTGCTTATTCAGAAAACTGCAGGCCCAGCTTTTCTTCAGAGTGATGTGCATTGGTTGCTATTTTTCTTTCTCTTTTTCAAGTTTCTGTCCATTTTCTGACGAGTGAGAATGCAACATGCTCCGAGTTCTCCTGTTCAGCAGCACCAGCATCCTGCCCTACTCCCATGCCCAGAAGGGCAGAGAGAAGCAGCTTTGTGAGTTTACATGAATAACTTCTGCCCCAGGAAGCCATCACTACACTAAAGCTGAAGATCTTTGGTTTTAAGCCACTCATCACCTAAGATCTCCATATAATGGATTCCATGATAGGCATTCTGCAAAGGGCAAAAAATGGGGGCATATTCTGATTTGGGGTTGGAGAGGGTACACTTGCTGCACTTGAAGAACACCCTTCATTAAAGATTGAAAAGCAATTTCCTGTTAAGAACAGCTGCATGTGGGCAGCCCCCTTTTGGAGAACAGGGAACAAAGAACTGCACAGGCATTAATTTATCTTCCCCATCCGTTCTGCAAGTAGATTTATTGAACACATAAGCCCTGAAACATTCTTTCTGCAGACTCGTAAAAATGTCAGCAGCATCTCCCCTCTCTCTTGATGTTGCTCTCAATCAGCTCCTTTGATTGGTACGTGGTGCCAATGGGACCAATGCCGTGCATCCCATGTCCATATATGTCAATTAGTTTCACACAGAAATTGTTCCATGGACACAAACTAAACCAACAATGCCAGTCAATGATGTCACAAATGCTGGGTGAAAGACTGTAAATGAATAGTTGTAAATCCATCATTGCTACTACTCAGAGGTTGGCCTCCCAATGAGAAAAGCCAGAGAAATCAACTTTATGAATAAAAGCTCATTTTGTATAAATGCTAGGGATGAGGATATCTGGTGACTCTGGAGATGAGCTTCTGAAAGTACAAGATCAAATTTTCAAATGTTATTTAAACCGTTTAGTTCTCTGCTACATGTGGATTGACTAGTTTTGATATAGTTCAATTTCTTTTAGGCTCAGGTTTCTCTCCTGAATTCCAGAAGCATATACCATCAGCTAACTAAGCATCTCTACCTACAGGTCCCAAATTGTCCCAAACCACACTCTTCCTGGCATCCCAAATCTTTTTTCCCTCTGGTGTTCCCCATCATAGTGAGTACATCATAAGGAGTGGTTTGTGCCCTTCCTTCAATGCACTTCTCACCTCCAATCTATCAAGTCCAGTGCAGGATAGAGTGGTGGTTAAGAATTCAAAACCTGTCTCTGCCACTTACTAACTGTGTGTCCTTGGGCAAGTAGCTTAATTACTCTATGCCACAGTTTCTTCATCTGAAAAACACAATAATAATAATAATAGTAATAATAATATCAACCACATATGATTGTGAAGATTCAATGAAATCGGCACATGCAGAGTGCTGAGAACTGTGCCTAACAAATTGCAAGCACTCAATAAATATTTGTTACTATGAATTGCATCATTTACACACAGACTTTCCTCTCCAGCCTCACTACCACTACCCCATAGCCTCCAAGCCCATCTTTTAAAATTCAAACTTCAACTGCACCTTCCTCCTTGTTGTTCTCAGATTGCTGCCACAGTGATCTGTCTAGGAGCATCCCTAAGTAGGGAAACTGGGTGCTGCCCAGGGCCTATGCTTAGGGAACAGGGGTGGGGGTATCCCCAAGGGTAGGCCCTGGGGTGGAGGTATCCCAAGAGGCCCACAAAATATGCCAACAGCACAGCCTTCTCTCAAGTACAAATACCTTGGGCAACTTCTGTACTAGTGAATTTGCCCTCTTCTCACAACCCCAATCTTCTAGGGGCTGCCATCTACTAAATAATGAACTAATTAAGGGTAGAGTCTATATCATTTATCTTTGTACCCCTCCAATATAGCTCAGGGCCTGGCATGTAAAGAGGCTTTCAAAAAATGCTTCTTGAACGGTTACTTGGATGGCCATTATGCATTCTGTAGGTCCAGAGCAATTCACTATATTTTGACAACCAAGCAAATCAGGCCAAAGGGCAAAAATTAAACCTGAGATATTTGGTTCCTAAAGCCTCTATATACCGTTTATTCATACACTTTCTCTAAAAGGAGGATAATAATTGCACCTATCAGGTAACACATGTCACACAACTCCACCCTGTTTCAATGTCACAACCAGGACAACTAGAGGAAGGTTTGCTAGAGTCTAGCAGGGAAATGATTATGGAAGCTTAAGGGAGCTGACGGCACATTTACCCATCCAAAAAATACTTCTTTAACATCTACTATGCACCTGGCACTGTCCTCACAGGGGATCAGGGCTTCTGTACTGTACAGCTCAAGGGGTGCCATTTATACCCCTGTGGAAGATACGGGTTAAGGCTCAGTCTTGTTTACACATAGCACAGCACAGCACAGCACAGCATTTGGGAACTCTGGTTCTTTTCAGTAAAGAATTAGTTTTCTTTGAATGGAATTTTTCCTCGTTATTTCTTCTAACTGTTGATCATAATGTATCCCTTTCAGTTTACGTAATGCTTCATATTTGAACAGTCTGACTTTTCTGTTTCAGTCCCACAAAGACACTCATATCTTCCTCAGCACCAAAACTATGTAATTAAGAAAAATGGAGTGTCAGATGCCACACAGAAGTATCCATCTTTGAGCGAAAACCAGCTTGCTTTCTGTCCTGGAAAATTGGGTTTTCAAGTGAATAAAGCTTCAGTTAATGTTCTAGGTCCTAAGCTGTCATTGACTCCTGTGACCTTTGGTGGATCGAGTGTCTCCTCTGGGCCTTGAGTTCCTTCTCCCTAATAGGTAATTGATATTCCCACCCCAGGGCTACAAACAAGGGGCCACCTGCCCTTTAGACCGATCACCTGCATCAGGGAGAAGATTCAAGGGCTTGGTTTAGAAATGCCCAGGACTTTGACAGGATCTAAAGATTATGAGAGAAAAAATGGCTTTTCTTTAAAGACCTCTTGGTTTTCTGTGGGGAAAGAAGGATCTTCCTCTTACATATGTCTTTCTTGACCTGAGTTCTAAATATTTTGTTTAAAATACTCAGAGTGCCCTCCTCCTTCCCCAACACACACACTCACACAATTACTATCCTACTAGCCACTAATTGTTGAAAGCATCGTTTCTCAGCCATTTTAATTCCACAAATACATGGTGGTACTGTTATGTACTGTTATGTACCGTGTTTTATGCATATATATGTGTGTGAATGTATATATATACACACATATATATACACATATTATATACATATATACATAGTGCAAGTATCTATCTCATACACACACACACACACACATATATATGTGTGTGTGTGTGTGTGTGTGTGTGTGTTTTACCCCCAAGAAACAATTTTCAGCCTCTAGAAGGTGATATGGCCCTTGGTGAGATTTTGTGGCCTAGAGAGGGCAATTAATCAATGTAATATTTTAAAACTAAGTTTTACTTTCTGTATATCTTAATTAAATGTTTATTTGATTTATAGGAATGCTATTCAGTTCCCTCAGACTCAGAGTCTTTGTTGGTAGCAATGAACATTTGCTGCAGGAAAGCCAGTGCTAGAGAAGTAGGGGGCTCACTGTCCTAGCAACAGGGAAGGGTGTTCATTGATGACCTTGGCTCTGGACACCTTCGGCTCCCAACACTCACAGGGAATTGCTGCCTTACCTAAGCCCAAATTCTTTCCAAGCCAGTCTGCAACCAATGACTGGTCAATGTGGGCTATAAAAGCTCACCCCCTGTCACCCCAACTTGAAACAACTCGCAAAAACTATCCCATTTTCAGAGCACCCCATGTGGTTTGCTGAGGCCAATCAACCACCCAACTTCTCCCTCTGTCCAAGGTTTTGACATCAAGAGCACTCCGTAATAAACTTGCTGCATACCAATCTCCATCTCAGAGTCTATTTTGGGGAAAACCTTACTAGGACATTTGCACAACCACTTCTATTTTCCCATGTTGGTTCTCATCCCTTTCTGTCATCCATTCTCCTGAGCCTTTCCCTTTTTTGTCTCAGGTCCTTCTTTTCTGTACCGTCTTGACAAATCCCATTCTATTCTCTATAATCTATACAGCAAACTCTTCTCATTTCGAAGCTATAGTCTTCAAAGTAGTCAGCATCCCAGAAAGTTTGAAAAGTATTCATCACTTTATGACAGAAAAAATATTGGAATTTCTATTTCTATTTGTTTTTCATCCAAACACTAAAAAATAAATTAAGCTTGACTAATATCATATATACAGAATGACAGTGGCACATTCTCACAATTGGCTGCATATCCAAAAGTTAAATATGGGGCATGGTGAATGAGGTACCCCGAGAATCATGGAAGTCCCAGGCTCTGAGGAGATGGCAGCGGCATCCTTAACCACTGATTTGCTTTCAACATAGTGCAAGTATCTATCTCATTAAATATATTTATAAATTATTTTATCTTAAGTAGTAGAATAATTATAATATTTTACAATGGAATGATTGTATGAAATATGAAATATGAAACTCATGTACTCCAAAGAGTTTCATCAGCTATCTCATGACAGTATTGAAGAGTTGTTCAACTTAAAGATGAGTTTCATATTTTTTATAAAAATACAAATGTTCAAATTTTATCAAGCTTTATGTAACATAAGAGATTACCAACCCTGGAAGGTATCTAGAAGATATTTTTTGAAAAAATAAATCCACTGATTAACTTTCTAAAGATTTAATTCTTTTTTTTCCTTTTTAGTATTTCCTTCCATGAGAGAGGAGTGTTTTTACAATGAATCAAAAAATCACTTAAAAAAGAGAACATTCTGAAAACAGATGTCTGGAAATATTTCCATGATTACGTGATCTTGTTGCCAGAAAACACTATGTCTCACTTAAAATATTCTCGTATCTGCTTCCTTTAGAAACTTGGAGCTATTTTTAAATATTTCAAATAAAGACATTCAATTGGGTTTGAATCTATTTGTTGAAAACATATGGACTTAGCCTGGGCAACATGGTGAGACTCTGTCTCAACAAAAGATTAAAAATTAGCTAGGCATGGTGACATGCACCTGTCATCCCAGTTACTCAGCGAGGGCTGAGGTAGGAGGATCACTTGAGCCTGGGAGGTTGAGGCTGCAGTGAGCCATGACCATGCCACTGCACTCCAGCCTGGGCAACAGAGTGAGACCCTGTCTCACACGCACACAAAAAAAGTATATTGACTTGGTATCATCTGATTAGTTCAAAAAAGCAACTGATTGACAAGATGGTTAAGGTGTGTATTAGCTGATTGTGATTTTAAAAATTATTTGCATAATTTGCAAATGGAATTGGAAAATAAAACAACTTCCTGATTTAGTAAGGATAGTCAAGGATGTACTACTTCTTTTTGAATCTGCATAGCCTCAAAATGTATCTTTTTTGGCCACATCATCGTTAGAATGAAATAATCTAAGTAAGCCAAACTTTGAAGCATATCTTTAAGAAAGTGTTAAACTAAGATTTTTCAAACTAATGTAGCATATTCTATCACATTGCTTTCACTGTAAAACAATAATTTTTAGGAGTAAAAGATTTCTTATACTGTTAGTAATATAAAATTACTTTTAGATATTAATTTCCCTTCTTAGTGCTTCATTTAAAATTTTTATTTTGTGTGTCTTATAATGCATAAATAAATTGGTACAGTGTCATGCAAAAATATTTGAGTCAACATATTTTGGATCATGTGCTCAAAATATTTTATGTATAGGTATAAAACCAAACAACCTAAAGGATGTTGCTTGTATTATTTTCCTGTGGCTGCTGGAACAAATTACCATTATTTAGTGATATTAAACAACAGAAATTTATTCTTTCACAGTTCTAAAGGCCAGAATCCCCAGCCGGAAATCAAGGTGTTGGCAAGAACTCTCTCCCTCCAGAGGCTCTGGGGAGAACTGCCCTTGCCTCTTGCAGCCTTTGGTGGCATTTCTTGGCTTGTCGCTGCATCACTCCAATCTTCAAGGCAAGCATCTTTAAATTTCCCTCTGCTCCATCTTCTATCTCCTCAGTGTGTGTGAAAATCTCCCACCATGGCACACGATTATCAACGTAACAAACCTGCACACCTGGCACATGTACCCCGGAACTTAAAATAAAAATAAAAATTAAGAAAAAAGAAAATCCCCTCCCCATACCTCCTTCTAATAAGAACACAAGTGGGCCGGGCGCGGTGGCTCACGCCTGTGATCCCAGCATTTTGGGAGGCCGAGGCGGGTGGATGGCGAAGTCAGGAGATCGAGACCATCCTGGCTAACACGGTGAAACCCCGTCTCTACTAAAAATACAAAAAATTAGCCGGACATGGTGGCGGGCGCCTGTAGTCCCAGCTACTCGGGAGGCTGAGGCAGGAGAATGGTGTGAACCCGGGAGGCGGAGCTTGCCGTGAGCCGAGACCGCGCCACTGCACTCCAGCCTGGGCGACAGAGCAAGACTCCGTCTCAAAAAGAAAAAAAAAAAAAAAAAAAACACAAGTGATTGCATTAGGTCCAATGCAGACCATCGAAGAAAATCTCCCCATTTCAAAAGTCTTATATTAATCACATCTGCAAAGACCCCTTCCCCTGGCTTTTTTTCTTTGCCACATAAGTTAACAGTCACTGGTTTCAAGATTAGGATGTAAATATCTTTGAGGGGGAAGCCATTTTCATCCTACCATGCTGTTTATTGTAAAATTCTTCAAAACTCTACTAGGCATAAGAATCAGCTTGAGAAGCTTGCTAAAAGTGTAGACAAGTGTGTCTCACTGAGAGATTGAGTTAGTAAGATTGGGGGTGCAGATGGGTCTAAGAAATTGCATTTTTGAAACACCAGCTGATTTTGATGTGCAGACAAACACTGTTTTAAAAGTATGCTGTTCCCCGTTCTTACTGTCCCTCAATTCCACCACATTTGGAATAATAAAGTATTCATCATGTGCTTTTAATTTCTTAAAAGATGATTATTTCCTCTAACACACACTTACATAGCTCTTACCATGGCACTATTCTGAGTTACTTACAAATATTAACTCATTTAATTCTCCTAATCACCCTGTGAAGTAGCCACTATTATTATCCTCATTTTACAGAGGAGACTGAAGCACCTAGCGTTAAATAATTTGTCCCAGGTCACACAGCTACACATCATCAGAGTCCAAATTTGCACCAGTGTCTGGCCCTCCAGCCTATGTCTTAACTGGCCATAAAGCTATTTTACTGTCTTAAAACCACATTACTTAACTTTTGTTACCTGTTTTGAGAATCTTCTAAATGAAGTTTCAGTACAGTATGAAAATGTTTTTTGAAACTATAAAAATATCTCCCTCCAAATCTGTAATTATCTGGAATGTTTAAAAGTGGTTCTTAAAGCTAAGCTTTGATATTGACAGAGATTTTATGGGATATAGAGTGAAACTGAAAAATGTTCGATTATTATGGGTAAATTCCAGAAATATCTGATTCTACAAAAAGTTCTCAATATGCTTTATTTAAACTTGAGTTAAAACCAAAGATTAAACAGATGAGAACGATGACCAACAATGAAGTACAAAATAGTGTTGAGGTCTGCAGAGTTAACATCTGTCCATTTCAGTTTTAAGGAGGGGTTCTTGGACTTCCACACATTTCAGAACCCTAGAGGGTTTGTTAAAACACAGGTTGCTGGGCTTTACCCTCAGAGTTTTTAATTCAGTAGGTCTGTGATGTGCCCAAGAGTACATGTTTAACAAGTTTACAGGTAGTGCTAGCTACTGTGGCTGTCCTGAGGCCACACTCTGAGAACCACTGCAGGGAACATATGTTGAGGATCTACCATGTCAGAGACAACAAGGTAAGTGCCAGAGGAGCAAAATGCATAAAACAAGTCCCAGGCCTCCAGGAGCTAATAGCCATGAAAGCCTAATGGGCAAAGAAGACATGTCATAAGTTCATTTTAATCTGCAGTAGATGTCTGATAATCTAGTGTTTAGTACCCCAGATACCCTAATAGTTCAACTTCAGTCAGAAGTAAAGTAATACAGACTATCTTTATGTCTTACAATCTTGATGGTCACACATGCAGATTGTTAGGGTGAATTTTCTTAACTGGCCAGGTGAATCTGTCATTAACTCAGAAATCTTCCAAGAAATAGAAAAGTAAGAGGAAAATCGTAAATAAATTAATCTGTCACCAACTGCTGATTATAAGTTACTCAATGTTTTCAGCCAGTCATTACTCTATGCCAGAAATAAAATATCTATCAGAGACATGATCAAGAAGGCAGGAAACACCCTCCTACGTCTGTACTGCCTACTGCTTCAACTTCAGATGGTCTTAAGTCAACCCTGGATGAAGATGTTGAAGATAATACCAATGAGTGGGCTCACAAGCTCACAAATGTCAGTCATTTGACAGATATTTGCTCTGCACGATATGACCTGGCAACTAATGTTCTAAGGGCATATGTAGCTGACTAGCTTAAAGTCTGCTAGGATATACCAATATCTGGGTTCTCCTTTTCCTCCTAGCCATGATGTCTAAACTACACTTCCCTCTTACTAAGGTGTGGTTGTATGACCAAATTGTAATCAGTAAAGTTAAGTGGAAATAACTGGGCTCCTCCTGGCCTGACCCATAAACATCTCTGGTGCATAAAAGTCTCTCCTTTTTGGACACTGATATACTGCTGGTAGAAATGTAAATTAGTATAATCTTTATGGAAAACAGAATGGAAATTTCTTAAAAAACTAAAAGTAGAACTACTATTTGATAAAGGAAATGAAGGAAGGAAACCTACACACATACATTTATTGCAGCACAATTCATAATTCATAATTGCAAAGACAAGTAACCAACCTAAGTGCCTGCCCATCAACCAATGAGTGGATAAAGAAAATGTGGTATATATAGATGTGGAATACTACTCTGCCATAAAAAAGAATAAAATAATATATTTTGCAGAAACTTGCATGGAGTTGGAGGCCATTATTCTAAGTGAAGCAACTCAGGAATGGAAAACCAAACACCGCATGTTCTCACTTGTAAGTGGGAACTGAACTATGGGTATGCAAAGGCATACAGAATGGTATAATGGACTTTGGAGACTCAGAAGGGGGGAAGGTGGGAAATGGTAGTAGAGAAAAAACTACATATTGGGTACAATGTATACTACTTGTCTGACTAGTACACTAAAATATCAGACTTCACTACTATACAATTCATCCATGTAACCAAAAACCACTTATCCCCAAGAGCTATTGAACTTGAAAAAAAAAAATTATCTGTTTTTTCATTCTCCAGCTGAATGGATAAGACACTAAGAATATAAAAGAGGGTAGAACTGTAAGATGGAAGGAAGTTGGGTCTCTGAATGGAACATCTCCTCATCCCTCCCATCTGAACAAGAAAATTAATTTTTATTGTATCAAGCTACTGAAATGCAGGTTTTTTTCATACAGTAGTTAGCCTGCCTGGCTAGTGAGTATTATTATTACCATTCAAAAGCAGAAGTTTTAAGAATGTAAGGAATGGAATTTAAATTATAAATATATGTTTAAGTTTCATTCTAGTGAAAATAAGATACTTGAAAATGACAATAGAACAATGTCTGGAAAATCTGGCATGGTCCTGTCTGCATTGCAGTTTTAATAGAGACAGTCACTGTTTGCCAGGGCAAGGGAGAAGGGAGATACTTCCCAATCTGAGAACTCAGTTAACATCAATGTAGAATATAATTACATATAATTTTTAGAAGAATTATCAGTATATTGGAAAAGCATCTTAATCTTTTACTCAGCCAAACCTAAAAGAAATCCAGCTGTTCAGGCCATAAAGATCATAATTCAGAGCCTGTTATTCATTTGGTCATTGACAATGATTATGGGAACACAACACAGAGGAGGAAATAACACAGCTCCTAACCTTCTAGTCTAGAAAGTCTAAACCTATAAAGTCGCAGTAATGTCCTTCTTTCCCTTACATTGTCCTACCCTATCTTGCATGAGTGAACAGAGATCTCTATACCACAAAGGTGACAGGTCACTGTGATAAACACAGACCAAAACCGACAGTACTGACACCAGCAGAGAGAACATCTGTAGGCAATGTCTTAGCAGTATCACAAAGCATCAGGAGTTGTCAGGACCCCGACACTGCGTCACGATTTCCTTACCACTCCTCAGGGTACTGGGAGAGGGGAGGAATCAATAGGCAGGTCTTCGAGTCATCATCCAGGATCAAACCCTAGTCCCTTCCTCATGTAAAAGTCACTCGCTGAGGATTTGTCAAGAGTCGAATGCCAGTCGGTGTTCCTGGGAATGAAAATCAGTATCCTTGTCAATGAGCTTCCCCTGCTCAAGTTGGTGAACATGGATATTCCCAATCCTTCTCATGATTTCATTGCTTTCCCACCTCCCCCCTCACCCCCCAACACACACACAACTGTTTTCCTTTGTCTCTTGCCAAATACAAAGAAACTACTTCTTAAATTTCAGCTTCTATTATGTGAACATCTGTGAGCAAATAAACTGTGAATATGGTTTCCATCTTTTTCCCTGCTTGGGACCCCTCATTTCACTTCCAACCCATTGAGGCCCGATGCATCTGGCAGATGAGTTGGTGCTCAGTGGGGTGGCTTTAAATCTATAAATGATTCAAAGGCAATAAACAAAACAAAGACTCCCACCCTTTCACTGAGAAAGGAGACTGTAGTTAGAAGATTATCACCTTAGGCTACAATTTAGAAAATTATTTTTCAATCTCAAAATGGCTAATGATATAAAGATAAAAGAAAATTCTCCTGAATATTATTAGAAAATTCCCTGTCATTTTCTATTCTGCTTCCATGTTGGTTATTAGTAATATGGTGCTACAGGAACTTAACTAAAGGGCCATACTGGAAATTCTAGCAAGCTTTGTGAATATAAACACTATAAAATTAGAAACAAAATACCACTTTAGCCTAAGAAAACATATTTTAAGTGATCAATAGAACATGAATATTTTTGGAGGGGTTATTTTCCACAGTGTGCTCCCATGGCATTATTGCATAAATCAAGGGGAAATCAAGGTACTGGGGACACCTGGTCTGCTGGCATCTTGGTCATCTTTCCTTTAAGAGGAGTTGGGGGATTATCAGGCTGAGCCAAAATATAAGTCACCCTAAATGTTTGTAGACTTGGTGAGACTACTCCTTTGCTTCTAAGGTTACTAAGACAAGATCTGGAAATGAGCCCCCAAAAAGGGTTTTAGATATGGCAATATAAATAAGCTGTTTCTAAATATGGTTAGCTTTGTGAGGGAGTGATGCTGTCATTGGGGTGACAGCCTTAAGAGGGGCTACATCCCAATTATCCACCCCAATTCATTCACAAGCCTCTTGTAAGAGCAGATAAAAACAGCTATGAATGAGGATCTCCAAATTCAGAAGTGAGAATCTCCCAAGTTTCTCATTATACTTAGAGCATTCAAAATCAGTCTGGCCATCTCCGGCTTGGAAAAGATATAGGACTTGGCAGGAAAAGGGAGGCAGGCTGGGCAGAGACAGCAGCATATGTGGAATACCATTGGGACTTTTGGACATCACCTCTGCTCTCAGGCAGGGCTCTGTCATAAATAAGAGCTGAGTTTCTCTTGGGACTGAGTAGCTGGTGTGTTTGCCAGTGTGAGGGGACACATTATCCACTTGTGTAAACACAAAAGTTATAAACCATTGGTAGAGTCTTGACACATAGTTCCTACTGGGTAATGACTATAAGGAAATCTCTGTGATTGTTCATTTGTTCATTCATGCATTCATTTATTCAGCACATGTATATGGAGCACAGCTACATGTGAAATGCTAAGCACCACTCTATGCTGAGGGTACAGCTGTGAACAGATGAAGACCCTGTCCTCATGGTGCTTACATTTCAATAAGAGAAATTGAGAACCCCCAAAAAGTCAATGAACAAAGTACTTGCTCATTGTGATATGTACAGCAGGCCCTTGAATAACATCATTTCATTCAATGTTGTTTCATTATAACATTGAGAAAAAAAATTAATTCTTGGCAGGTCCACTGTCTGTGAGGGGTTTGCACATTCTTTCCATGTCTGCGTATGTTTTCTCCAGGTACTCAGGTTTCCTCCCACATCCCAAAGATGTGCACATTAGGTGAATGGGCATGTCTACATGGTCCCAGTCTGAGTGAATGTGGGTGTGCATGAGTGTGTCCTACGATGGGATGGCTCCCATCCAGGGCTGGTTCCCACCTTCTGCCCTGAGCCGCAGGATCAGCTCCGGCCACTTGCATGCCAAACAGAATTTGGATAATTATCTTACTTGTTTTGATTAATTTTTCTTAAATGTATGTATAGCTCACATTTATTTCAATGTTTAATATTAGAAGTGTTTTGGTCTTTATTTAGGAGTTTGGTGATGTTTTTGTAACCAGAAATACGTCGTGGGAACTTAACTCTTGTTTCCATCAATTAGGCTATAGTAAAATTGGTTTCATTATACATCATTTTGCTTAAAGATGTAGTTTTCATGACAATGTTAAGTGAAGACTTTCTTTAAAGGAATTAAGCGGGGTGCAGAGATACAAAGCAACAGGGTAGACATAGTTCATATGGAGTGTTCAGGGAAAGATCTCTCTGACATTAAAGGTGACATTTAAGCATCTAAGACTTGAAGCATGAGAAGAAGCCAACCATGCAAAAGCCAAGAGAGGAGCATTCCAGACAGAGGAAAGAGCAAGCTCAAGGCCCTGGGGCAGCACAGCACTGAGCACTGAGCAGAGGCCAGCAGTCCTGGAGCAAGGCTGAGAGCAGACAGGAGCCAGAGCCTACAGGGGGTAGTGAGCCCTGGTCAGGCATGCACAGTTTATTTTAAGGCAATGGGAAGACTTTGAAGGATTTTAAGCAAGAAAATGACAAAATCTGATTTATGGTTTCAAAAGCTCTCTTTGGCTGCTCTGTGGAAAATGGATTGGACAAGGAAAGAGTGGAAGGATATTGTGCTAAGACTCAAGATGAGTTAAAACATGGTCCATGCAACAGAGGAGTTCACAGTCTGATGTGAGACAGGTGAGTGAATACACGACTATAGTGGGGTGTGTGCAGCGGAGTGCATGTGCTCCAGGCACCAGGGCAGTACAAAGAAGGAAAAACCTGGTTTCATTTCCTGTCACCTATCAAATGAAACCATGTCAAAATAAAGTCAGATGGATGTAGATGACTTTACCTGGTATCATTAAAATGTTGATTGATCTTCATGCAAAAACTGATACAACTGGAAAACCACTGAACATTTGATCAGAAACTGAAGACTATATATAGGGAAACAAGAGATTTTGCTA
Organism: Homo sapiens; assembly: GCF_000001405.40. NCBI lineage: Eukaryota > Metazoa > Chordata > Mammalia > Primates > Hominidae > Homo > Homo sapiens. Next base: position 81,713,128 of record NC_000004.12, read on the forward strand.
GTGATCCCTAGTTTATAAAAAGAGCCTATTCCAACAGTTCAATTGGAAGTCTTTAGTTTAGAATACATTTTTTTCTGACAAATTCTAGCATCAAGTTTCTCTGGGTGTAGTGATGTCTCAATTATAACCCTGTACTGAGATACTGGAAAAAAAAAAAAAAAAAAAAAACACCTCCCTTAGTACTCAGGAAAATTTACCCCTCAGATTTGTCAGGCTGTGGAGCTTAATGCAGATTACCAAAGGCATTTTCTATCTTAAGGAGTCAACAGTGGCATAGCTGCTTTGAGGTCCAAGTGAGTAGTAAGGATCTCGGCAGGATGAAAAGCACAGGAAGGAGGTGAGAGACTGTGTCACGGGAGAAGGATCTAGAATGGGGAATTAGGAAACAAGGGTGGCCACCGCCTTCACCTGCCCCCACCCCCTCCTATGTCAAGAAGACTGGCACTGGGCATGGCAGAAAAGCAAAGGAGGGAAAGGGGCTTCAGCCAGGCAGAGGGATAAAAATTTTCCTTCCCTTTCTTCACCGTCGTTACCACCTGGTGCTGGAGACATGGTGACAAGTAGAATGCACTGTGGAAAACACCACTCTGGATGTCACAGTTTGTCTATAAATCCAGTTTTGCCACTTGTTATGTGCTCTTGAGTTAGCAACTTCTCAGAGCTTTAGTTAAAATAAAACTCCTACTTAGGATTGTTTTGAAATCAAACAGGAAGTGAGTTGATTCTGCATCTATTCTTCCTTCTTTTTCTTAACCCACTTGAAACTAGCTACTGGGGTCTCATACCGGGAGAGACCCATCCTCACAATGGGGAAAAAAAATGGCTAGAAGAAGAGAGACTGCATGTGTGTTTCCTGCTGGGACAGTGGCTACAAAGAAGGGACAAGTCAGCTGCTCCCAAATCGAAGATTGCTCATTGTGTTCAAAAACCATAAAGATATGCTAAAAACTCTCCAGTCATTGTTCTGACATTAGCGTCTGTCATTTCAGCCCCTCCCCAAAAGCAATCTCTGTGACCTAGTTCTCTTACCTCTGATAAAGAATGAACTGATATTCATACCTCTGCAGATTTCCTTTCACCTTTCGATGACATTTTTTAAACTCCTTATTATTAATAGTTTTCATAGCAGACATCAATAGAAACTCCACTTGTAAGAACTCCTTTCTGATAAGTTTATTTCATTAACCACCAGTACTTTCATATTTGTTATAATAGTATCTACTATAATTCACAAAGAAACACAGCACAAGATTGGAATCCCATGAGTTCGAGGACATTCTCCACATTTTCCACAAGGTATGCACAATTAGGCACATATCATTCAGAGGTTCCCAGGGGCCTCAAAGGATTACCGTGGCTCTTTATCCTCAGTTCTCTTGGGATGCACCGTCTTCAATTAACTTTTCAATCAAACTGAAATCATATTCTAACCTGGGACCAGCCCAGGCAAAATGCTTATTCTCTTCTCTCTGATAGCGATGCAGCCTAGTGGAGTGGTTAAGAGGGTAGGGCCACAAACTAAACTGCCTGAGTTTGAGTCTTGGTACCACATTTACAAATGACCTCAGGCAGGTCATGTACTTGTAGTCCTAGCTGCTCAGGAGGGTGAGATGGGAAGATCACTTAAGCCCAGGAGTTTGAGGCTGCAGTGAGCTGAGATTGTGCCACTGCACTCTGGCCTGAGTGGCAGAGTGAGACCTCTTCTCCAAAAATAATAACAACAACCACAACTAGCATTTATTGGGAGATTTTTATTAACTCTGTAAAATGGAGATAAGACTAAACTACTTTGTGAGTTAAGAAGAATAACTGGTGGCTGGCAAGATGGCCAAATAGGAACAGCTCTGTTCTGCAGCTCCCAGCGAGATCAACGCAGAAGGCGGGTGATTTCTGCATTTCCAACTGGCTCATTTCATTGGGACTCATCTCATTGCGACTGGTTAGACAGTCAGCGCAGCCCAGGGAGGGCAAGCCAAAGCAGGGTGGGGCATTGCCTCACCCGGGAAGCGCAAGGGGTCAGGGAACTCCCTCCCCCAGCCAAGAGAAGCCCTGAAGGATGTGCCCTGAGGAACGGTGCATTCTGGCCCAGATACTATGCTTTTCACACGGTCTTTGCAACCCACTGACCAGGAGATTCCCTCAGATGCCTACACCACCAGGGCCCTGGATTTCAAGCACAAAACTGGGAGGCCATTTGGGCAGACACCGAGCTAGCAGCAGGAGTTTTTTTTCATACTCCAGTAGCACCTGGGATACCAGCGAGACAGAACTGTTCACTCTCCTGAAAAGGGGGATGAAGCCAGAGAGCCACATAGCTCAGCAGACCCCAACCCCATGGAGCCCAGCAAGCTGATACACTGGATTGAAATTCTTGCTGCCAGCACAGCAGTCTGAAATCTACCCGGGATGTTCGAGTTTGGTCGGGGGAGGGGTGTCCACCATTACTGAAGCTTGAGTAGGCAGTTTTCCCCTCACATTGTAAACAAAGCCGCCAGGGAGTTTAAATGGGGTGGAGCCCACTGCAGCTCCACAAAGCCGCTGTAGCCAGACTGCCTCTCTAGATTCCTCCTCTCCGGGCAGGGCATCTCTGAAAGAAAGGCGGCAGCCCCAGTCAGGGGATTATAGATAAAACTCCCATCTCCCTGGAACAGAGCACCTGGGGGAAGGGGTGGCTTCAGCAGACTTGAACTTTCCTGCCTGGCAGCTCTGAAGAGAGCAGCGGTTCTCCCAGCACAGCATTCGAGCTCTGCTAAGGGTCAGACTACCTTCTCAAGTGGGTCCCTGACCCCCTTGTATCCTGACCGGCAGACACCTCCCAGCAGGGGTCGACAGACACCTCATATAGGAGAGCTCCAGCTGGCATCTGGCAGGTGCCCCTCTGCGATGAAGCTTCCAGAGGAAGGAACAGGCAGCAATCCTTGCTGTTCTGTGGCCTCCACCAGTGATACCCATGCAAACAGGGTCAGGAGTGGATCTCCAGCAAACTCAAGCAGACCTGCAGCAGAGGGACCTGACTGTTGCATGGAAAACTAACGAACAGAAAGGAATAGCATCAACATCAACAAAAAGGACTTCCACACAAAAACCCCACCCCAAGGTCACCAACATCAAAGATCAAAGGTAGATAAATCCACAACGATGAAGAAAAAACAGTGTAAAAAGGCTGAAAATTCCAAAAACCAGAACACCTCTTCTCCTTGAAAGGATCACAACTCCTTGCCAGCAAGGGAACAAAAATGGATGGAGAATGAGTTTGACAAATTGACAGAGGTAGGCTTCAGAAGGTGGGTAATAACAAACTCCTCCGAGCTAAAGGCGCATGTTTTAACCCAATGCAAGGAAGCTAAGAACCTTGAAAAAAGGTTAGAGGAATTGCTAACCACAATAACCAGTTTAGAGAAGAACATAAATGACCTAATGGAGCTGAAAAACACAGCACAAGAATGTCGTGAAGCACACACAAATATCAATAGCCAAATCGAACAAGCAGAAGAAAGAATACCAGAGATTGAAGATCAACTTAATGAAATAAAGCATGAAGACGAGGTTAGAGAAAAAGAATGAAAAGGAATGAACAAAGCCTCCAAGAAATATGGGACTATGTGAAAAGACCAAATCTACGTTTGATTGCTGTACATGAAAGTGATGAGGAGAATGGAACCAAGTTGGAAAACACTCTTCAGGATATTATCCAGGAGAACTTCCCCAGCCTAGAAAGACAGGCCAACATTCAAATTCAGGAAATACAGAGAACACCACAAAGATACTCCTCAAGAAAAGAAATGCTAAGACACATAATCGTCAGATCCACCAAGGTTGAAATGAAGGAAAAAAGGTTGAGGGCAGCCAGAGAGAAAGGTAGGTTACCCACAAAGGGAAGCCCATCAAACTAACAGCAGATCTCTCTGCAGAAACCCTACAAGCCGGAAGATAGTGAAGGCCAATATTCAACATTCTTAAAGAATTTTCAAACCAGAATTTTATATACAGCCAAACTAAACTTCATAAGCGAAGGAGAAAAAAAATCCTTTATAGACAAGCAAATGCTGAGAGATTTTGTCACCACCAGACCTGCCTTACAAGAGCTCCTGAAGGAAGCACTAAATATGGAAAGGAAAAACTGGTACCAGCCACTGCAAAAACATACCAAATTGTAAAGACCATTGACACTATAAAGGAACTGCATCAACTAACAGGCAAAATAACCAGCTAGCATCATAATGACAGGATCAAATCCACACATAACTACATTAACCTTAAATGTAAATGGGCTAAATGCCCATTGGCAAATTGGATAAAGAGTCAAGACCCATCAGTGTGCTGTATTCATGAGACCCATCTCACGTGCAAAGACACACATAGGCTCAAAATAAAGGGATGGAGGAATATTTACCAAGTAAATGGAAAGTAGAAAAAAGGAGGGGATGCAATCCTAGTTTCTGATAAAACAGACTTTAAACCAACAAAGATCAAAAAAGACAAAGATAATGGTAAAGGGATCAATGCAACAAGAAGAGCTAACAATCCTAAATATATATGCACCCAGTACAGGGGCACCCAGATTCATAAAGCAAGTTCTTAGAACCTACAAAGAGACTTAGACTCCCACACAATAATAATGGGAGACTTTAACACCCCACTGTCAATATTAGACAGATCAACGAGACACAAAATTAAAAAGAATATTCAGGACTTGAACTCAGCTCTGGACCAAGCAGACGTAATAGATGTCTACAGAACTCTCCACCCCAAATCAACAGAATATACATTCTTCTCAGCACCACATTGCACTTATTCTAAAATTGACCACATAATTGGAAGTAAAACACTCGTCAGCAAATGCAAAAGACTGGAAATCATAACAAACAGTCTCTCAGACAACAGTGCAATCAAATTAGAATTCAAGATGAAGAAACTCACTCAAAACTGCACAACTACATGAAAACTGAACAACCAGCTCCTGAATGACTACTGAGTAAATAACAAAATTAAGGCAGAAATCAATGTTATTTGAAACCAATGAGAACAAAGACACAATGCACCAAAAACTCTGGAACACAGCTAAAGCAGTGTATAGACGGACATTTGTAGCAATAAATGTCCACAGGAGAAAGCAGGAAAGATCTAAAAATCGACACTCTAATATCACAATTAAAAGAACTAGAGAAGCAAGAGCAAACAAATTCAAAAACTAGTAGAAGACAAGGAATAAATAAGATCAGAGAAGAACTGAAGGAGATACAGACACAGAAAACCCTTCAAAAAACCAATGAATCCAGGAGCTGGTTTTTTGAAAAGATTAACAAAACAGACCACTAGCCAGACTAATAAAGAAAAGAGAGAAGAATCAAATAGACATAATAAAAAATGATAAAGAAGAGATCACCACTGATCCCACAGAAATACAAAGTACCATCAGAGAATATTATAAGCACCTCTATGCAAATAAACTAGAAAATCTAGAACAAATGGATTCCTGGACACATACACCCTCCCACGACTAAATCAGGAAGAAGTTGAACCACTGAACAGACCAATAACAAGTTCTGAAATTGAGGCAGTAATTAATAGCCTACCAACCAAAAAAAAAAAAAACACCCAGGACAAGACAGATTCACAGCCAAATTCGACCAGAAGTACAAAGAGGAACTGGTATCATTCCTTCTGAAACTATTCCCAACAATAGCAAAAGAAGGACTCCTCCCTAACTCATTTTATGAGGCCAGCATCATTCTGATACCAAAACCTGTCAGAGACACAACAAAAAAAGAAAATTTCAGGCCAATATCCCTGTTGAACATCGATGCGAAAATCCTCAAGAAAATACTGGCAAACTGAATCCAGCAGCACATCAAAAAGCTTATTCACCACAATCAAATCGGCTTCATCCCTGGGATGCAGGGCTGGGTCAACATATGCAAATCAATAAACATAATCCATCACATAAACAGAACCAATGACAAAAACCACATGATTATCTTAATGGATGCAGAAAAGGCCTTTGATAAAATTCAACACCCTTTCATGCTAAACACTCTCAATAAACTAGGTATTGATGGAACATATCTCAAAATAATAAGAGATATTTATGTCAGACCCACAACCAATATCATACTGAATGGGCAAAAGCTGGAAGCATTCCCTTCAAAAACCAGCACAAGACAAGGATGCCCTCTCTCACCACTCCTATTCAACATAGTATTGGAAGTTCTGGCTAGGGAAATCAGGCAAGAGAAAGAAATAAAGGGTATTCAAATGGGAAGAGAGGAAGTCACATTGTCTCTGCTTGCAGATGACATGATTGTATATTTAAAAACCCCATCATCTCAGCCCCAAAACTCCTTAAGCTGATAAGCAACTTCAGCAAAGTCTCAGAATACAAAATCAATGTGCAAAAATCACAAGCATTCCTATACACCAATAACAGACAAACAGAGAGCCAAATCATGAGTGAACTCCCACTCACAATTGCTAAAAAGAGAATAAAATATCTAGGAATACAACTTACAAGGGATGTGAAGGACCTCTTCAAGGAGAACTACAAACCACTGCTCAAGGAAATAAGAGAGGACAGAAACAAATGGAAAAACATTCCATGCTCACGGATAGGAAGAATCAATATCGTGAAAATGGCCATACTGCCCAAAGTAATTTTTAGATTCAATGCTATCCCCATCAAGATACGACTGACTTTTTTCACAGAATTAGAAAAAACTACTTTAAATTTCATATGAAACCAAAAAAAGAGCCCGTATAGCCAAGAAAATCCTAAGCAAAAAGAACAGAGCTGGAGGCATCATGATACCTGACTTCAAGCTACACTACAAGGCTATAGTAACAAAAACACCATGGTACTGGTACCCAAACAGATATATAGACCAATGGTACAGTATAGAGGCCTCAGAAATAATGCTACACATCTACAACCATCTAATCTTTAACAAATCTGACAAAAACAAGCAATGGGGAAATGATTCCCTATTTAATAAATGGTGTTGGGAATACTGGCTGGCCATATGCAGAAAACTGAAAGTGGACCCCTTCCTTACACCTTATACAAAAAGCAACTCAAGACGGATTAAATACTTAAATGTAAGACCTAACACCATAAAAACCCTGGAAGAAAACCTAGGACATAGGCATGGACAAAGAGTTCATGACTAAAACACCAAAAGCAATGGCAACAAAACCCAAAATTGACAAATGGGATCTAATTAAACTAGGAGCTTCTGGACAGCAAAAGAAACTATCATCAGAGTGAACAGGCAACCTACAGAATGGGAGAAAATTTCTGCAATTTATCCATCGGACAAAGGGCTAATACCCAGAATCTACAAGGAACTTAAACAAATTTACAAGAAAAAAACAAACAAACAGTCGAGGAACAGTGGCTCACGCCTATAATTCCAGCACTTTGGGAGGCTGAGGCGGGCAGATCACCTGAGGTCAGGAGTTTGAGACCAGCCTGGCCAATATGGTGAAACCCTGTCTCTACTAAAAAATACAAAAATTAGCTGGGCATGGTGGCAGGTGCCTTAATCCCAGCTACTTGGGAGGTAGAGGCAGGAGAATCATTTGAACCCGGGAGGTGGAGGTTGCAATGAGCTGAGATCGAGCCATTGCACTCAAGCCCAGGGGACAAGAGCGAGACTTCTCTCAAAACAAAAACAACAACAAAAACAAACAAACAAAAAACCATCAAAAAGTGGGCAAAGGATATGAACAGACATTTCTCAAAAGAAGACATTTATGCAGCCAAGAAACATATGAAAAAAATTCATCATCACTGGTCATTAGAGAAATGCAAATCAAAACCACAATAAGATACCATCTCACGCCAGTTAGAATGGCGATCATTAAAAAGTCAGGAAACAACAGATGCTGGAGAGGATGTGGAGAAATAGGAATGCTTTTATACTGTTGGTGAGAATGTAAATTAGTTCAACCATTGTGGAAGACAATGTGGCAATTTCTCGAGGATCTAGAACCAGAAATACCATTTGACCCAGCAATCCCATTACTGGGTATATACCCAAAGGATTATAAATCATTCTACTATAAAAACACACACACACACGTATGTTTATTGCAGCACCATTCACAATAGCAAAGACTTGGAACCAACCCAAATGCCCATCAATTATAGACTGGATAAAGAAAATGTGGCACATATACACCATGGAATACTAAGCAGCCATAAAAAAGAATGAGTTCATGTGCTTTGCAGGAACACGGATGAAGCTGGAAATCATCATTCTAAGCAAAGTAACATGAGAACAGAAAACCAAACACCGCATCTTCTCACTCATAAGTGGGAGTTGAACAATGAGAACACATGGACACAGGGAGGGAAACATCACGCACTGGGGCCTGTTGAGGGGTGGGGGGCTAGGGGAGGGATAGCATTAGGATAAATACCTAATGTAAATGACAGGTTGATGGGTGCAGCACACCACCATGGCACGAGTATACCTATGTGACAAACCTGCATGTTCTGCACATGTATCCCAGAACTTACAGTATAGTTTAAAAAGAAAGAAGAATTAATACATATAAAATGCTTAGAACACAACAACTCAATAAATGCTAGCTATTGTTGTTACTACTATTTTTAGAGACAAGGTCTTACTCTGTCACCCAGGCCAGAGTGTAGTAGCACAATCTCTGCTCACTGCAGCCTCAAACTTCTGGGCTTAAGTGATCCTCCCACCTTAGCCTCCCAAGTATCTAGGACTATAAGTACATGCCACCACATCTGGCTAAGTTTATTTTATTTTTTGTAGAGACACACCCTATGTTGCCCAGGCTGGTTTTGAACTCCTGGCTTCTAATGATCCTCCCACGTTGGCCTCCCAAAATGCTGGGATTACAGGCAGAAATGATAGTACCCTGCCAATTCTAGCTATGATTATTGTACGGTAAGGTGAAAAGCTTTGTGTCCCCTCCCAAAATATGGACAGTTGCACACAGCATAAGAAAACAATGTTCATGTTCCCCTGTCTTCGTCCCTCCATCAAAAATACAAAATAATAAATGATGTTTAATTTTAATGTCTAATTCAAAACAAAATTTAAATGCACTTTTTCTAACCATCCCAGACAAGTATTCAAGTAATATGTGCCTCCCCTGTCAGGATAGCCTGTCTTGGGGCTCTCACCTTCTGCCCTTAGTACAAGAGATGAGAATGGCAGGCCAAGGTGTCCTGGGAGTAATTCATCCCTGAGTGACAGCTGGTGCTGTCAAGAGTCGTTATTGCTGGTGCGCACAGACCTTCTGGCAAAGCCAGGCGAAACACAGAAACTGCAGTCTCCCTGCCCACCTGTCAGCCTCGTCCAGGAACAGCAGAGAAATTTGCTTTTCTTCCTTCAAAGGGTCCAGCAAGCCCTAGCACCCTTATTAATGCATGCCTCTTCAGTCCCAGCCTGCCTCCCTACCCTCCCTGAACACAGACTTCCCAACCTATTCTTCCAAGAAGGGGATTAGCTCAATTAATCTCTGGACAAATGTCAAGGAGTCTGGGGGAGGGGGCACCTTTCAAGTGCCGCGCCCCAAATAGCAAATAAAGCCAGACATGCGCTGAGGCCACACCGCACAAGGGTGAGCTGCAGCAGCTGCCAACAGGATAGACCGAGTCCTTTTAATGTCAGGCTTAGCTTCCCAGGGGCTCACTTTCTTGCCAGCCTGTTCTGACAGACCACAAGCACCAGGCTCTCAAGTTCTCCTCTCACCGTCTGGGACGGGGGTAGTCGCAGGAAAGCTGCTTCGGGATCAGAATCCATTTTTGAGGCAAACGTTGCTCTCCTCTCATCTCCTGTGTTGCTGCCTTCTGTGCTTGCCCTCTCCTCTCTGGGCCCACCTGCCTCCCCCACCTTCAAAGGGCAGGCACTCCCCTCCAAAGCATGGTTAAAAAAAGATAGTTCCTAGGTTCAGAGTAAGGAAACCAAGTAGGCAAAAAAGCCACAGGGAGAAAAGCCAGGAATGGGTGGGAGTGGAGGAAATTCTCATTATCTAAACACAAAATTATTTTCCCCCAACCATAAGTTTCATCAACCTGATCCACAGAATTTTGGGAAAAGCCCTGAGAGTGCTTTCTCTTTGATCTAATTCCCAGAAAGACTTCATTCAATCCATCCAAGGGAGTGACTGAACTGGTAATAATTCTCTAGAATAGAGATTTCCCAATTGCTCTATGCTCATTCCAATTTTTTCATTTGTAAGGTATTTTCTATTAGTTTAATCCTTCTCTGTCTCTTTCTCCCTTCCTCTTCCTTTTCCCCTCTCTCCCTCTCCCCCTCTCTCTCCTTAGCCAGCAAAATCTGGCCTAACCAGCAGGCTATTAAACAGCACTTCCACATGCTACAGTCCAATGATTTGGTAATTAATTTTCATAATGATGATCTGGAAGGATTTCTACAGCCTCTTGAAAGATCCAAGAAAATATATACCCTACTGGTTATACATATGCTTTGAGTGTGAGAGGTAGCCTGGGTGTCCAGTTCTGGTGGTGTCATTTACTAGCTGTGTGGCCTCGGGCACGTTACTTAACCTCTCTGCCTATTACCATTTCCTCATCTGTGATACGAGGATACAAAGTTTATTAAGAAAGATAGCAGTTAACACTCTAGTTATGAAATATGTCCTATGAACCAGACACTATGCCAATTGATTTGCCTGAATTATTTTATTTAACCCTCACAACAACTGCTGAGTCAATATTAAGGGGATTTCATCACAGTCTCATTTGTTCAATATTAGCAATACACATATTGTACCTATGGTGACTATAAACCAGAATATCTAATTAATGTAAACATCTCATTTCCTCACTAGAAGAAGACACAGGCAGTCTACTTCAATTATTATCCAAAGCTCTTCTGTTCAGATGCGCTTTTGAATTCAGAAAATTTTTGGACTTTAGAAAGACAATATGGTTCATATAACAAACAGAACACACTGGTCTGGGGCAGCATCCTGTAACTGAACGCATTAACATTTCTGCTCTGAAACATGAATCTTCTCCCTAAAGAGAACAACACAGAGCTTCCTGTCATCTCAAAACAGGTTTTGTTACCAAAAGTCATTCAGAACAGGTAGTTTTACCATCAAATAAGTTAGAAAAGAAAAAAATAAATAAACTTAGGCTATTGTTTGTATTTCAAAATTTCAGATAGGACATTGTGAACTTTATTACACAAAAGCACTAAATAAAGAATCAAGATTCTAGTCCTGGCTCTAGTAGTAACCGCTGTGTAATTGTGGGCAAATTGCCAAGGTGCTCTGGTTTCAGATTCTTCATCTACAAAATAGGTGACTACTACTTTCTCCTAAGTTATACAGAAGTAGCTGTGAAGATCAAATGAGATAGAATTCATCAAAGTATTTTGAATAAGTGAAGTGTTTACCAAATTCAAGCTGTTTATTATCTTTTAAAATGATTTTTTCAATGATTATAGATTTAATTATGCACTACTGCTTCTTGTTTGAATGGCACAGTGTTGCTTACATGGGAAAAGATTCCCCAATTAAATCTCCTTTTTGCATGTATCACTGCTGTTGTTTCTTATACATCAATAAAGATCAGCAAATACATGATGACTGCACTACTGAAATATTTCTCTGGGTTAAACTACAAGAATCACCTCTAGGAAATAATGATAAGCTGCTGTGTCAAATCACTGCAGTTACTGAATACCTGAAAGACCATTTTTTTGTTTTGAAGAAGCAAGCTGTTCAAGTGTCAGGTTGATTTTAACCTGATTTTACAACTTCTTAAAAATCTGCTCATGTCTTCCTTTTCTGGGCGGTCTATGAAGACAGCATTGGCCTGGGAGTTTGATGATCCAGTTGCTAGTCCCAGCCTGACCTCTAATGTTCTGTGTCATCTAGGACAAGTCACAACACCTCTGAGATGAACTCTCCAAGTCCCTGAGCCTAGTCAGACTTTGGGAGGCAAGAGAGGGTTCACTGCTCCTATTTGTTGTCCCCAACAGAAGACTTTCAAGCCCTGGTTGTTCACAGGATTCAAGCCCTGGTTGTTCCTGCCACACACTCCTGGCTGGCTGGGAGCTGCCTTTGCACTGATATCAATCACATGTTGCTGATGTCAGCCCAGCTGTGACAGCTGAGGCCACCACCACCCACAGCTGACTGAGTGAGTCACATCTGCCTGCTTTCTCTTTGACATGAACCTCTCGGAAGCCCAGGGACAGAGCCCATAACCTGCTTCTCCCTTTGCAGCTCTTTATATTCTTTCAGCTTGCACAGTCTCCATGGCTGAGTGATTTGTCCCATTAGCCATGGTTTTACAAAATTAACCATGAATGTTCTCCAGCATCCGTGGTAACCTTTCTGCCAAGGAGCAATTATAACTATAAGATATCTTCTTTTGATGTTGACTTTTACAAACAGAGGATCCCTGGCAATTAAAATGCAATGAGGTGGTTATCTCATTAAAAAAATTATAAATACTCCCTTTCATAGAGACGAAGGACACATTAAGTAACCTTTACTATATAATAAAGCTGGTAATTATTATCAATAACAGAAGGACATTCTGTGTTTTAAAATCCAAGGTCCATGACATATGTGAAATGGTAGGGTAAATGTAATATAGAAAAAAAAAAAACACTAGACTTAGAACCTGAACTTTCCTTGCCCCCAAGGAGGCTGTGATCAAACAGATGAGGCAAAAATATAAAGCGATTATATTATTATATTTATTATATAAAATAATATGTAGGGGTGGAGCAAGATGGCTGAAAAATACTCTCTAGCAATTGTCTCCCCACAGGAACACCAAATTGAACAATTATCCATAAAAGAAAGCACTTCAGCAAGAAGAGTAAAAGATAAACCTACCAAAAATAACAACTATGACTGCTTTTTAAGTGATAGACAACATAAAAGACATAAAAAGAGACAAGAAAAAGTCTAAAAGCAGGATAGGAATTAAAATGTGGAGTGTTTCAGTTTTCTCTTTGCTTGTTTGTAAGCAGAGTTAAGTTGTCATCAGCTTAAAATAATTGGTTATAAGATGTTATTTGTAAGCCTTGTGGCAACCACAAGACTTAAACCTATGGTAGATACACAAAAAATAAAAAGCAAGAAATTAAAAAAATACTACCAGAGAAAATCACTGTTACACAAAGGAAGACAAGAAGGAAGAAAGAAAGGAAGAGGACCAACAAAACAACCAGAAAAGAAAATGGCAATAGTGAAGTCCTTACCTTCAATGATAACATTGAATGTAAATGAACTATATTTTCCCATCCAAAGACAGAGTGGCTGAATGGATAAAAATAGGACTCAACCATATGTTGCCTACAAGAAAATCACTCCACCTATAAAGACATGCATAGACTGAAAATAAAAGGTGGGAAAAAATATTTCATACAAATGTAAACCAGAAAACAGCAAAAGTAGCTCTACATTTATATCACATAAAATATATTTCCAGACCAAAACTGTAAAAAGAGACAAGGTCATTATTAAATGATAAAGGGGCCAATTCGGCAAGAAGATATAACAGTTCTAATTATATATAAGTCAAATGCTGGAGCACTCAGATATACAAAGCAAATATTATTAAAGCTAAAGAGAGGCATATACCCCAATGCAAAATTAGCTGAGAATTTCAACACCCAACTTTCAGCATTGGATAATCATATATACAGAAAATCAACAAAGAAACGCTGAACTTTATCTACACTATGGACCAAATGAACCTAATAGCTATTTACAGAATATTTCATCCAATAGCTACAAAATATTCATTCTTCTCATTGGTACATTGAACATTCTCAAGGATAGATCATATGTTAAGCCACAAAACGAGTCTAAAAAAATTCAAAACAAATAAAATCATACCAAGTATGTTTTCTAAATATGATAAAACCAAACTAGAAATCAATAACAAGTGGAACTTTGGAAACTGTATAAACACATGGAAATCAAATAATATGATCCTGAACAACCATTAGGTCAATGAAGAAATTAAAAAGAAAATTTAAAAAATTTTTTGAATCAAATGAAAAATGAAAACACAATGTACCAAAATCTATGGGATATAGCAAAAGCAGAGGTAAGAGGGAAGCTTATAGCAATAAACATCTACATCAAAAAGGGAGAAAAGCTTTAAATAAACAACCTAATAATGCACCTTAATGAAGAACTAGAAAAGCAAGAGCAAACCAAATTCAAAATCATTAGAAATAAAGAAATAAAGATCAGAGTAAAAATAAATAAAATTGAGACTAAAAAAATACTAAACACCCACAAAATGAAAAATTGTTTTTTTGAAAACATAAGCAAACTTGACAAACCTTTAGCAAGATTAACTACGAAAAAAAGAGAGCAGACCCAAGTAAATAAAATCGAAATGAAAAGAAAGACATTATAACTGATACCACAGAAATTTGAAGTATCATTACAGACTATTATGAGAAACTATATGCCAATACATGGGAATGTCTATAAGAAATGGATAAATTCCTAGACACATACAACCTACCAAGATTGAACCATAAAGAAATCCAAAACCTGAATAGACAAATAACAAGTAATGAGATACAAGCAATAATAAAAAAAGTCTCCCATCAAAGTAAAGCCCAGGATTTTATGGCTTCACCACTGAATTCTAACAAACATTTAAAGAATTACTTACACCAATCCTACTCAAACTATTCAAAAAAAAATCGAGGAGGAGGGAAATCTATCCAAACTCATTCTACAAGGTTGGTATTACCTTAATACCAAAACCAGACAAAAGCACAACAATAAAAGAAAACTAGAGGTCAATATCCCTGATGAACATAGATGCAAACATCCTCAACAAAATACTAGCAAACTAAATTGAGCAACACAGTGAAAACATCATTCATCATGATCAAGTGGGATTCATCCCAAGGATGCAAGGATGGTTCAACATAAGCAGATCAATCAACGTGACACATCATATCAATAGAATAAAGGACAAAAAACATATGATCGACCGGGTGCAATGACTCATGCCTGTAGTAACAGCACTTTGGGATATCAAGTCAGGCAGATCACTTGAACCCAGGAGTTTGAAACCAGCTTGGTTTCAAACTTTGTGTCTAGAAAAAAAATACAAAAATTAGCCAGGCATGGTGGTGCATGCCTGTAGTCCCAGATACTTGGAGGCTGAGGTGGGAGCCCTGCTTGAAACCAGTAAGTCAAGGTTGTCGTGAGTTGTGATCACACCACTCCACTCTAGCCCAGATAACAGACTGAGACCCTGTCCCATAACAAACAAACACCATACGATCATTTCATTAAACGCTGAAAAGGCATCCAATAAAGTTCAACATCCTTCATGATAAAATCTCTCAGACAACTGGGTATAGAAAGAACATACCTCAACATGATAAAAGCCACATACAATAAACCCACAGTTAGTGTCATACTGAATGGGGAAAACACTGAAAGCCTTTCCTCTGAAATCTGGAATGAGACAAGAACGCCCACTTTAATCACTTTTATTCAACACAGTACTGTAAGTCCTAGCCAGGGCAATTAGGCAACAGAAATAAACAAAAGGCATCCACATTGGAAAGGAAAAAGTTAAAATCATCCTTGTTTGAGATGATATGATCTTATATTTAGAAAAACCTAAAGATTCCACAAAAAAACTATTAGAACTAATAAGCAAATTCAGTAAAGTTTCAGGACGCAAAATCAACATACAAAAGTCAGTGGAATTTCTATATGCCAACAGCAAACAATCTGAAAAAGAAACCAAGAAAGTAATCTTATTTAGAATAGCTACAAATAAAAACATATACCTAAGAATAAATTTAACCAAAGAAGTGAAAGTTATCTACAACAAGAACTATAAACATTGATGAAATAAATTGATGAGGACACAAAAAAGGAAAGATATTCAATGTTCATGGATTGGAAGAATCACTATTTTTAAAATGTCCATACTACCCAACACAATCTACAGATTCAATGCAATCCCCATCAAAATACCAATGACATTCTTCACAGAAATAGAAGGAAACAATCTTAAAATGTATATAGAACCATAAAGATCCAGAATAGCCAAACCAATCCTGAGCAAAAAGAACAAAACTGGTGGAATCACATCAATTTCCTCGCTTCAAATACCACTACAAAGCTATAGTAATCAAAATAGCATGGTACTGGCATAAAAACAGACATGTAGACCAATGGAACAGAATAGAGAATCCAGAAATCCATGCATTTACAGTCAACTTATTTTTGACAAAGGTGCCAAGAACATACCTTGGGGAAAGGACAGCCTCATCAATAAATGGTGCTGGGAAAATTGAATACCCATGCAGAAGAATGAAACTAGACCACTATCCCTCACCATATACAAAAAGCAAATAGAAGTGGAGTAAATACTTAAATATAAGACCTCAAACCATGAAACTACTACAAGAAAACATTGGAGAAACTTTCCAGGACATTGTTCTGGTTAGAGATTTCTGGAATAAGAACTCAAAAGCACAGGCAACCAAAGCAAAAAAATGGACAAATGAGATTACATCAAGCTAAAAAGCTTTTATACAGCAAAAGAAGCCATCAGTGAGGTGAGGAGACAATACACAGAATGGGAGAAAATATGAATATTTGCAAACTATGCATCTGACAAGGGATTAATAACCAGAATAAAGAACTCAATAGAAAAAAAATCGAATTAAAAATGGGCAAACATACAGAAAATTGAAGCTGGACCCCTTGCTTACATCTTATACAAAAATTAAATCAAAATGGACCAAAGACTTAAATGTAAAACCCAAAACTATAAAAACCCCAAAAGAAAATCTAGGCAATACCATTCGGGATATAGGCACGGGCAAAGATTTCATGAAGAAAACACCAAAAGCAATCGCAACAAAAGCAAAAATTGTCAAATAGGAGCTAATTAAACTAAAGAGCTTCTGCACAGCAAAAGAAACTATCATCAGAGTGAACAGACAACCTACAGAATGGGAGAAAATTTTTGCAATCTAGCCACCTGACAAAGGTCTAAGCAGAGTCTTCAAGGAACTTAAACAAATTTACAGAAACACCCCAACCCCATAAAAAAGTGGACAAACGACATGAACTGAATGGACACTTCTCAAAAGAAGACATTTATGCAGCCAACAAACATCTGAAAAAAAGCTCAACATCACTGATCATTACAGAAATGCAAATCAAAACCACAATGAGATACCATCTCATACCAGTCAAAATGGCAGTTATTAAAAAGTGAAAAAACAACAGATGCCAGTGAGGTTGTAGAGAAAAAGGAAGGCTTTTACACTGCAGGTAGGAGTCTAAATTAGTTCAACCATTGTGGAAGACAGCGTAGCAATTCCTCAAGTATCTAGAGGCAGAAATACCATTTGACCCAGCAATCCCATTACTGGGTATATACCCCAAAGAATGTGAATCATTCTATTATAAAGATACATGCACATGTATGTTCACTGCAGTACTATTCACAATAGCAGTCATGGACTCAACCCAAATGCCCATCAATGATAGACTGGATAAAGAAAATGTGGTATATATACACCATGGAATACTATGCAGCCATAAAACGGAACAAGATCATGTCCTTTGCAGAGATGTGGATGGAGCTGGAAGCTGTTATCCTCAGCAAACGAATGCAGGAACAGAAAACTAAACACCATATATTCTCACTTAAAGCTGGAAGATGAATGATGACAACACATGGACACATGCAGGGGAACAACATACACTGGGACCTGCTGGTCAAAGACGACGGAGAGCATCAGGAAGAATAGCTAATGCATGTGGCTTAATGCCTAGCTGATGGGATGACCTGTGCAGCAAACCACCATGGCACATGTTTACCTATGTAGCAAACCTGCCCATCCTGCACACGTACCCCTGACCTTAAAATAAAAGTTGAAGATTAAAAAAAAGATCCTTTTGCCACATTTTTAAAAAAAGAAAAAAGAAAAAAATGGCCAAAAGATCTGAATAGACATTTCTCAGAAGAAGACATACACATGGCCAATAGTTATATGAAAAAATATTCAACAGCACTACTTATCAGAGAAATGCAAATTAAAACTATACTGAGATATCATCTCACCCAAGTTTAATTGGCTTTTATCCAAAATACAGGCAATAATGAATACTTGTGAGGATGTAGAGAAAGGTGTTGGTGGAAACATAAACTAGCACA
Source organism: Homo sapiens (assembly GCF_000001405.40). Taxonomy (NCBI): domain Eukaryota; kingdom Metazoa; phylum Chordata; class Mammalia; order Primates; family Hominidae; genus Homo; species Homo sapiens. The sequence goes on from NC_000004.12 coordinate 81,731,321, forward strand.
ACGACTATGGAGAACAGTATGCAGGTTCCTCAAAAAGCTAAAAATATAACTATCATGTGATCCAGCAATCCCACTACTGGGTATATATCCAAAAGAAAGGAAATCAGTATATGGAAGAGATATCTGTATTCTCATGTTTATTGCAGCACTATTCACAATAGCCAAGGTACATAATCAATCTAAGTGTACGTTGGCAGATGAATGGATAACGAAAATGTGTTACATACACACAATATAATATTTTACAGCCACTAGAGAGAATAAAATCTTGTCATTTGTAACAACATGGATGGAACTAGAGACAGTATGTTAGGTGAAAAAAGCCAGGCACAAAAAGACAAATATTCTATGTTCTCACTAATATGGGAGCTAAAAAAAAAGAACAAATTAAACTCATGGAAAGAGAGAGTAGAATGATGCTTATCAGAGACTGGAAAGGGTAGTTGGAAGGGACGCGGGGTAGAAAGGGGATGGTTAATGAGTACAAAAACACAGTTAGATAGAAAAAATATCTAGTGTTAGGTAGCACAATAGGATGACTACAGTTAATAATTTATTGTATATTTCAAAATAACAAAAACTATAGAATTGGAATGTTCCTAACCCAAAGAAATGCCAAATACTTGATCACAAACTCTTTGAAGGAAGAACTATTTCTTACTCCTTATTATCCCCCCTGATGCCTAGTACGGAGTGAATACTAATTACTCTGATTTGATCATTACACATTGTATGGTTGTATCAAAATAACACATGTATCTCATAAGTATGTACAGCTATTTATCTATAATAATTAAAAATAATTTTAAAAAAATAATATGTAGTACAATAAAGATAGTCACAAATTACTATGGGAGATATAACAATGCTTAATTTATCCTGAAGTTTAGAGAAGACTTCTTGAAAAAGGTGATTTATTGATGTTAAGTTACTTAAACTCTCTAGGTATCAGTTTCGTCATTTTTGTAGTGTAATTTAAAATACCTACATCTACATTTATGATGAAAAATTCAACTTGTAGGTAGAAGTTGCCATAACATTCCCAGCTCAGTAAACCTGCTGGTCTCTTGTACTTACATAGAAGCTAATATTCTTAAATCTACATGCTTAAAGCAGAAAACACTTTTTACCCAAATGTCCCACGAAGAATTTCTTGGCCTATGTCATTTTCTATTGTTCTAAAACATACTAGAGTCTGAAGATGGACTGATCATTGTTCTGAGCACCTTTGCTTTTCGGTAACTTCTAGCAAACAAGTTCACTCAGGTCAAATAAGAAGTTGTGTTTCTAAATGCATTTTTCTTTCTTTCCCCTCCCTGCTCACTACCATATCTGGAGTTCTCTTTGGTCACAGCCTTCTTTTGCCTGCAAGAAATGTTTCAGTATTCAGAACCTGTACTGCATGTCCATATGCTTGGTTGCAATCCAGTAGCTAAAGAAGAAGGTAATCAAGTAGATAAAGTGGCTAGGAGAAGATGGGGCTAATTTTTCACACTAAATTAATTATTCAACAAGTATTCACTCCGTACTAGGCATCATGGGGGATAATAAAGAGTAAGAAATAGTTCTTCCTTCAAAGAGTTTGTGATCTAGTTTGAAAGATTAGACTAACATAATTGGAGAAATTAAAGCATAATAAAATGTAATATATAATAAAGTATAAAACAAAATGAAATATGTAGACTGTGATTGTTTAAAGGAAAATGAATTATTTAAGAGGGTGTAGGGCAGCAACCAGGAGGCACTCAGGCTCTGCAGGCTTGGGGAAATTTGACTGGCAGGGAGGAGCAGCAGGTCCTGCAGGTGAGAGGACTAAGACCCAAAAGGCAGAAGGAGCGTGGTCTGCCCTCAGGGTGGTACACAGACCAGTCTGACTGAAGTGGAGGAATATGCTAGGTATGAGAACCATCCTTCAAGGCTTACCCATCACCTAAGGTGGCTCTGAGGTAGATAATTTCCTCATCCCTTGCCTGACCCTGTACAAAATTCTTACCTTATAAGGATGTACCAGAAATCTAAAAATATCTGTAAACTCCCATGGATTTGTAGCCATTCACTGTGGGTTGAATAGGCAAATAAGGAGTATTATTCTGGCTTAATATGGGGTGGAGTGTTGAGAGGGTTGCTGGGATGTAGTTGTCTGGGTCTCCTAGCAGGTCAGGTGAGAATACACTAGTATTAGGAGGAGCAGGACAAGTAGGACTAGGCCTAAAATATCTTTAATCATGCAATAAGGGTGTAATGGGATTTTATCAGAGTCTAATGAAATTTCCAAAGGGTTGTTGGAACCTGTTTCATGTAGGAGTAGGGGGTGAACAGCTAGTAGGGCTGTAATAATGAAAGATAGAATAAAATGGAAAAGAAAGAATCCTGTAAGGGTGGCTTTGTCAACTGAAAAGCCACCTCAGATCCATTGTACTAGGTCTGTTCCAATGTACAGAATAGCTGATAGCAGGTTTGTAATTACTGTTTCCCAGGAAGATATTTGACCCCATGGAAGGACATAACCTATGAACGCTGTTGCTATTACATAACCTATGACCACCGTTGCTATTAGAATGTTATCAATGTTTCAAGTTTCTAGGAAGGCGTAGGATCCATAATATAGGACTCATTCTACATGTAAATATAGGCAGACAGAGGATATTGAAGCCTCGTTGGCATGTAGATACCAAATGATTTAGCCATAGTTTATATCTTGGCAGATGTGTGTGACTGAGGCAAAGACTCAGAGGGCAGAAAGAGCATGGTCTGCCCCCAGGGCAGTGCATAGACCAGTCTGACTGAAGTGGAGGAGTATGCTAAGTAAAGTGCCCCACTTACTTGCCATGCTATGGTCTCCATACAGGGTCAGCATCCTGATGACTTCAGAAGCTCTTGGGTGCTCTTTGTGCTACAGATGGAACTACAGCACCAGGCTCTTTGCTCAACAAAGGGAAGACTGAGGACCAACCAGGTTCCCATAGCAATATGAAAATTCCATAACCGTATAAAAAGTTACTTGGGTTGAATATTATATGAAAAAAGGAAAGTCATGAAGACTTCAAGTCTCAGAATCATCTTCAATTGTTTTCTCCTCCCTCATTTCTATCCCAATAAATTAGCAAATCTTATCAATCCCACATCTTCATCATCTTGTGCATCTACTAGTAGCTGCTATTCCAAAGTCAGGTAGTTCAAATTTTTGTTACCTTTCTTAACTATATAATAGCATTATTATATATATATATATATATATATATATATATATATATATAAAACAATGCTATATATATAAAATATATTAATAGCATCATAAAAGCATCCTTCATCCAGATCCTCTTCCTTATTGCTATGTTCAACCAACACATTTTTACCTATTTTCCTTAACACATGATTAAGTCATTCACTCTTTGATGGCTCCTCATTGTATCCCTTCCCCCTACACATATGCACACACACCCACACACAGACACCCCTTCCCCTAGACTTCAACATTCTCCACTATTATTCTTACTATTGAGCAAAAAGAGAGAAATTGGAGGTTATTCTTCTACTGCTGGTTCAACATTTTATTTGTTCTTCTTTGACTGCCAACTTCTTCACAAGAGTCCCCACAAGTAAAGTAATGCTATGCTCATTCCTTCAGTTGTTCAGACTAAAAACATTTTAGCCTATGATTTATTCTTATGAAAGGAGTCTAAAAATTAAGCCTAAAATTATGATAAAGTCCAAAGTATTTGATTGTGGGTGGGATTTCATGATAATTTAAGAGTATCTCTCTCCAGATTTTGATCAAATTCAATAATTCAAGGTCAGAAACACCTCAATTTTTTTTTTTTTTTGAGGTAGAGTCTCGATCTGTCACCAGGCTGGAATGCAGTGGCATGATCTCAGCTCACTGCAACCTCCGCCTGCCCAGTTCAAGTGATTCTCCTGCCTCAGCCTCCTGAGTAGCTGGGACTACAGGCATGCGCCACCACACCCAGCTAATTTTTGTATTTTTAGTAGAGACAGGGTTTCACCATGTTGGCCAGGATGGTCTTAATCTCTTGACCTCGTGATCCTCCTGCCTCAGCCTCCCAAAGTGCTGGGATTACAGGCATGAGCCACTGCGCCTGGCCAGAAACATCTCAATTTTCTATTCACATTGGAACAAAGGGAATTGTATCAGGCCATTTTTGTGTTGCTAAAAAGAAATACCTGAGGCTGGGTAATTTATAAAGAGGTTTAATTGGCTCATGGTCCTGCCGGCTGTACACAAAACAAAGTACTGGCATCTGCTTCTGGTGAGGCCTCAGGAAGCTTACAATCGGCGTGGAGGGCGAAGAGGTGCCAGCATGTCATATGGTGAGAGTGGGAGCAAGAGAGGAAGGAGGGAGGTGTCACACACTTTTAAACAAGAACTCAGGATCACAAGGGCAGCACCAAGCCATTCACAAGGGATCCACTCCCATGACTAAAACACCTCTCACCAGGCCCCACCTCCAACACTAGGGATTACATTTCATCATGAGATTTGGAGGGGACAAACACCCAAACTATTTCAGGATTTCATCATCTGTCCTAAATGAGTAGCCAGAACTTGGTGGCTCCATGGATCTGTGGAGGATTTCCTGAAAGACCAAATTTCAGTAGACATACAAAAGAGCATCTTTCTGATCTGCTGCCCGAGGCCTAATAATTCTTTCTCTGGAGACATGTCAGATATTGACCTTCAAACCCATCCTCTGGGTCTTCAATCCAGTTGGACTAACACAGGACTGTAGGAAAACCCATCATGATACTAATGATCCAAGAAAGATTTCCCCATAATAAGAATTCTCCTTTCTAGACAGTTATAAAGACACTAAAGCATAATAGCAGAAAAAGTATGTATGAGCTTAGGAGTATGAAGACTTTTTGATTTAAATAGTAGATTTGTGATATTGAGCTTAATATTGTGACATTTAGCCAGTATGATCCTCAGTTTCCTCTTCTATTAAAAAAGCAGCTATAATTAAATATATGAAACTCTATAAATTGGGGTCTGAACAAGAACACAGAAATTATTTCGAATATGTTTAATAGAGGGAATGTAGCACAGGGAACTGGTTATACAGGTGATGAAGATTATAAGCCAAACAGCAGACAATGGGGTAATCCAGTCATGAGCAAGAGCAGGGAGTTTCACCATCCCTTGACTGGAGGGACTAAGGGAGGAGAGAACCTTAGTTATTTTGGAACCTCCAGTGGAGCCACCAAGTGGAAGTTTGAACCATGGCCTGCCAGTCCTGGGAGCTGGAGCCATAGAGAAGATGCAGCCCAAGGCAGAGGGGGAGCAGAGAAACAGATTGGCTCCTCTCTCCACCCTCACCTCCATCAGTGCCTGAATGCCCAGACCCGACCCAGAACCAGTGGCCAGGAGAGGCTGCAGTCTCCCTGTAACACTGACAGAGCAGAGGGAGGGTGAGGTGGGATCCAAGAACAGTAGCCCCAAGACCTGTCCAAGACTCCATAAAATTACTGTGAGAATTAAAGACGACATCATATAAAAGCATCCATCACAAGGCCTCATGCATAGTGAGTTTTCAATAAAATGTTCATTTGATTATATAGTGCCATCCAAATAGAGGGCATGATAACTCACAATGTTACCAAATCTATTGGTACAAAGGAAGGCTGCTATTACCTTTTCAGGAATAGTGAAAAACAAAAACAAAAAGCCCTTCAGCAAAAATACATTACCAGCTTCCAAAGGAGAAGCTGCAGATGGTATTTGTGATTTCCACAGAAGTGTCTCAGTTAAATTAATTACTTATCTATTAAATGTTTAAGCTGGTAGCTCTTTTTGTCTAATGTGATCACTTCATGCAGAAATCAACAACCAATTAAATCAGAACAAATGACTAGTTAATCTCTAAGGTTGCTTCTGGCTCTACCGTTCTGATTGTTCAGTTGCATCAATGATAAAATGATAAGAGGTTTTGAGTTCTGCCATTCCTCAGTCCAGAGTGTAACCTGAATCAGTATCAAGAATACATTGTCTTCCAAATATCTCAAATACACACTAGGCAGAGTAGAATTTATTTTAATTTTCGTAGCTTTAAAGAGGACTTTTCCAAGATGATTTACTTGAGAAATGCATTTTTCCATACCATAAATGAACACTGAAGAGACCTACAGTTTGTTTTAGGTTTTCTCTGCTCATAATGCAAATATTTATATATTCTGGATATGATTTGGTATGGATTTCTTATGCATAAACATTGGGGAATATCTTCTGAATAGTGATGTTCTTTATTATCATCAACATCATCATAATAGATCATATTCATATGGTGCTTATAGTGCCTGGCATTATTCTGGGTATTTTACATATATAAACTCATTTAATTTCAAGTTTATGAGGTAGGTACTATTATATTTCCCATTTTACAGATAAGGCAACTGAGGCACAGAGAGGTTAAGTAACTTGCTTATGGTCACAAAGCTTTTAAGTAGGAGAGCTGGTATCTAATCATGGCAGCCTGACTCCAGAATTCAGGCTCTTAACTATGGTACTAAGCTGAGGAGGAATAGAAGGGGATACACACATTCTAACAAAGACAATGATAAGCCAGGCTCCTCTCATTTTTATAGGGATGCCTTTCATGACTGACCCCTGCCCACTCCTTCAAAATTAACTTGTCTTCCAGTCCCCTCTCTCCCAACTTGAACCACAAAGGTCTCCATTCCCCCCTCATTATCACCAATATCCTTTCCTCCACAGGGCCTTTGCACAAGCTGCTCCCTCTGCCTGGAATGCTCCTATCTCCTTTCACCTGGTTGAACTCTCTGTCCCTCAGATCACCGAACAAGCTCTCTCTGGCCATGCTGAACCCTCATAATAGCTCTTGTGGTCCAGGGCACCTCTCTTTCCTAGCCCTCTTTACAGTTACAATTTGACATTTGTTTTATGTAACTCATGTCTAATTAGCTTCCTGTAATATCCCCTATGCCTAGAACATAATTATCATTCAATAAATACTTATTGACTGGCTTATTGATTGAGTAAATAATATTTGTCACCTCATTGGACTATGAACCTCATGAAGGAGGAAACCATGTTTATTCTTCCACTGTATTCTCAGCACCCAGTAAAATGCCTGACACATGAGATAATATCTACTGAGCAAATGTCTAAACCAGAGCACAGTTTTGTTACCTCTATGACAATTATTTCCCAGGACCCTTAAAAAAATAACCTTCAATTCTTTTCGTTTCCAGACAAAAACTCCAATATAAACAGAAGGCAGGGATTTCACCATTATCTCCAGGTGGCCAAATCTGATAGAACATGCAAAAGCTAGATTTCAGCAGGGACCTCCAGGACTCACCCATCTCCTCCACATGCTGCCTGCCTTCCTGAACAGGAACTCAGGGACGACATCAGTGCAGTTGAGTTTGTATCCTCTGTCGTCCTCTGACCCCACTCCCACCACCATCCTCCACCTCTTTGATGTCCATCTTAGACTACACATGTGCTTCTAATAAGTGCAATTCTGAAGAAAAGAAAAGGAAAAGTGAGTGCCATCTGGCATCATTGGTTTTCATGGCTTTGTGTATGTTAAACTCAGTATATCTATTGATATGAATAGATATGAATATGATATGAATAGAAAAGAAAGGAAAGGAAAAGAAATCACCAAATGGGTAATCACATCTCCAGACAACTTCTGACAAGATACTTTTCTTCAAGCAAAAAGAATGATAAACAAGACTCCCTCTGTCTTTGATGGGGCACAGGATGACTGAGTATGACTTCAGGATCTGTCACCATTGTCACAACCCCTTCTGAAAGCTAGAACTATCTGCTGACACTGGGCCAACCTTTGCTACTAAAAGAAATCAAAACTCCCCCTCTCTCTCAATTTGTAGAATATGGCAATCCTTTCCTTGTATGAGCAGAAGGCAGAACTTCATCACTCTGGGTTTGAAAGCACCCCTAACCCCTGACCCAAGGGAAGCTTGGAACTCGCATTTCAGCTGGGAAGGGTTGCTGACCTCTGGCCTGGAAAGCATGAAGCCACCTCAACCCACCACCAGAGTCAGTCCTTATGATGGATTCTTGTGATCCCTCTTTCTTCTTGGAGCAAAGACTATCTTCAAAATAGCTGAACAGCTACAGGAGTTGCCAGCAAAAACTGAAATCCAGTCTTTTCTACTGAAAATGAAACCAAGCGGATTTAAGTAAGCCAGACACAAAAGAACAAATATTGTATGATTCCACTTATGTGAGTTATATAGAGTAGTCAAAATCATACAGACTGAAAGGAGAATGGCCAGGGGCAGGTGTGGAGTAGAAGGTGGGAAGAGGGAATGAGGCATTATTGTTTTATGGGCATGAAGTTTCAGCTTGGGATGATGAAAAAGTTGTGGAGATGGGTGGTGATGATGATTACACAACAATGTGAATGTACTTACTGCCACTGAGCTGTCCACTTAAAAATACAATAAATAGTAAATGTTATGTTATGTACATTTACCATAATTAAAAACAAAATAAAACAAAGGCTTTATGGAACTTGTCCTGGGCATTTTAACACTTTTTAAAAGCTCTGTACGTTTACTGGCCCCAACAGTTCTTAAGGTTAAAACAAACATACAAGAAATCTTCAAGTCCTTTCCTCTTGAGGAATCTCCTTTGTCACATTTCTATTACACTTTAATACAGGAGCTTTAACATGATTTCCTTATCAATCAGACTACATTGATAACCCCAAACTTCAGTAGCTTCAAATAACAGAAGATTATGTCTTGCTCTCTCTCTACAGGTCTGTAGTGGGTCACTAAGGAGATTCCATCAGGGACCTGGGCTGATGAAGCAGTCCCATTCACCATGTGAGCAGGAAAGGAGAGTGTTGCAAAGCACACACTGGCTCTTAATGCTTCTGCCCAGAAAAGACCTGTTTCTTTTCCATGCTTACTTCATTGGCCCAAACAGTCATAAGGCCACACCTAATTCAAGGGAGTGTGGGATGCAGTTCTATATTGCACTGCACATCTGGAAGGAGAGTGAGATGTGGAGTGCCCGTGTGAATCCCACAAAGTCTTTCTGACCACTCTAGCCTCTCTCTAGGTTTTGCACATATCTTTGCATTATTTCTGAAGTTCATTTTAGTTATAGTTTATATTATAGCACACCTATATATAATTATACATATGCAATGATGTAAATTATAATATATATCACACTCACAATAGAACAAAACCTGGTCCCACCATCAGAGGACATTCCCAGCATTCTGCCATGTGTATCATCCCAAAGTTGAAGGACAGTGAATTCACAGGCTGCTCTGTCAACAAAGGAGAAGGAGCATCTCCTCCTCCCATCACCTCCTCAACTCTGTTCTGGCCTTGAGCCCAGAAGTCAGAGGAACCCAAAGCATTAAAAGATAGATTGCTAAATGCTTTATTTGGAGAAGTGAAAATGCAGTCTTGGCCTCAGAGGAGAAAAAGCTTTAAAAGAAAATAAACCTATCCTTGACATTGATTTACTCTAGGCTTACTGGTCTCATAAGACTGAGAAGCTGCAACATATTTTAGAGGTGCTAGAGACTCCATAAATCCACAAGGATGGCCTTTATCCACTGACAGTGAGTTCAAGTGCAGAGCCCCAAGCAAAAACCTCTGATGGTTCTATAATGGCAAGATAAACATCCCTGTCATAGAAGAGCCTCCCCATCCGGACGCTCAGAAAAGCAGGACAAGCTCAGACAGCAGTGAAGCCCAAGCCATTCACTCAGAGCGCACTAAAATGACAGGACTTCTCAGAGGTTAGAGCATCACACTAAATGTGCAGGACAGAAATTAGTGAAAGACATGTACATGGAGACCTCTCTACATGTATACCTATGCATACACACAGTCAAATGCAGATTTACAAAACCTTCGTTTGCTGACCTCCTGTCCTCTGTAACTGTTTATTTGCTTTGTAGCAATATAGTCAATGTTAAAAAAGCTCACACCATCATACCTCATGTCTTCATCCAATATATCCAAATATTAATAGCAGAGAAACCCTGGCCCTGTTTTATATTGCTTGCTAATAATAGTTTTGAGAAGATTTTCAAGTATCTCTGGCACATGAGCAAAATGTTATAACAACCATTAGCTAAAGCAGGAAAATAAATTTTATAAAGTATTAAATTTGGTCTTTGATGCTGACCAAATAGCAGTACCAATAATACGAGTCAACACATGAGCATATTCGGCAACTCTATTACATTTTTCTTAAGGTATAGACAGGATCCCACTGTGTTGCCCAGGCTTGTCTCAAACTCCTGGCCTCAAGCAATCCTCCTGCCTTAACCTCCCAAAATGCTGGGATTACTAGCATGTGCCACTTTGCCCAACCCCAGCAACCACTTATTACTTTGGATTTTATTGTTGTTGTTTCCTTCTTGGGATTTATTAAATTGCACAAAGAAACATCTCAGTCCCCAGTCATAAACTCAGCTGTTGTTTGAGGTTCATGTATGCACTGGCAAACTCCTAGAGAAAGACTAATTTTTAAATAAATCAACAAAAAATTGCATTAAAATTAAATTAATTAAAATTTTAGGGAGGGATAATCTAAGGGTCTGAGAAACAAGCAAAATTGAATTATCTTATACTGGAGGTCTACAAAGCAAGGGGAACAGTAATAAAAGTTTTAATTTTGAAGTCACAGATGTAGGTTTAAATAATTGTCCTGACATTTACCAATAGCAAGATAATAACCACGTCATAGGGCCACACAAAGTCTCAATTTCTTCACCTGTAAAATAGAGAAAACAGCATCCAATTCCCACAATTGATATGAGAATTAAATAAAATAATCCACACAAAGCCCTTAGTAGAATGCCTAGTACATAGCAAGTGCTCAGCAAAGGCTATATGTTACCACTGATAGTATTTGATAGATTTACAAGGAAGGGAATTCTTTAACTAAAATCAAGAGATGTCTTGACAGTTATCCAAGTGTCCCAAGATGCTGAAAGACAATGTGAATCTGACATTCTCAGTAGCATAATTTTCTAGCTTCACAGTCTATTCACCGGGAGATTGGAGGTAACAAATCTGAACTCCTGGCTTTGGTGTCTATTTGATGTGCACAGAAAACAGTGAGTTTTTGTTTGTAGAGATTGTTCTGTTGCTTGAACTATAGGGAAAACCAGTGGGCACAATTGCTAATAAAGCTGTACCTCTGGCCTGCAGGCTTCCTGAATATCAATGGGTATTTAAGAGAAGGGGACCATAGTTTTCATGGATACAAACAGATTAATGACAAGAAGAAAACTTGGGAGAGATCAAGTGTTTTCTGTGGCCTCCTCTAACAGACTCATAGCCATGGGTGCTACTGTTTTGGAAACAGAAAGACCTGCATTTAGATATTTCTTTTCAGTGTCTTCTCTTTTTAACTAATGATGTCCCTATAACATGTCCTTTCATCTGGCCCAATAGCCTGAGGAATCTTCCTAAATTTCTCATGAGGAAGTAACTCAACCTTCAGTTCTTAGCCCTGGTTCTTAGGCTCATCCGCAAATTAGAATCACCTGGGGAGCTTTTGCAATTCCTGATGCACAGGCCACACCCAGACCAATTGAACCTGACTCTCGGGAGGAGGAATCCACCCATCTGGAAGTTGTAAAGCTCCCCAGATAATAACAATGTGCAGCCAATGTTGAAAACCACAGTTGAGCTAAACAATGTAGATATCATTATGTCTCACAATACATTGTGAAAACAAAGACAAGCCCAAATAGAGGTTGGTAATCAGTTAATCCTGAAGATTTACCCAATAAATTGACAAGTCAGATGTTGCTGGCAATCAAATTGATGTGCACACACACACACACACACCCTTCTACCTGCCCTAGTTTGTTATGATTACCATCTGGGAGAGGTATTTCTGCCCCTCTTTCTTCTCAGGAAGTTTACCGTCTGTACACATCTCATACCCTCAACCAGAGATGGTAACCTTTGAGATACAGGAAAATAAGCAGGTAAGGACCTTTTTAGATTAACTCCTCACCAAAGAGATGGTAACCTTTGAGATACAGGAAAATAAGCGGGTAAGGACCTTTTTTTCCTTCCTCCAGTAGATGAGGGGCAGAATAAGTAGATCTGGGTGGTCTCAAAGTCACATCAGAGCAGAAAGGATATTAGGAGAGATAACCCCACCTTCTGTATTTGCCATGTAAAGCACTCAAAAGATGAGCTACATCAGCCATCTTATGAAATGAGAGAAGACGAATTTTAATCTAACTTGTATTTTAAGGACTCCAACTTGATAAAGTTGAGAATATTCATGTTTTATTTTTCAGCTTTCAGACTCAGCAAGGACACAGAAAGCAGTGAATCCCCTTCACTTCTACTTCTGAGCCACAGACAATCACAGATAATCCCTGACTTCCCTCCCTCTGCTGTAACTCAGAAACTAAGACTGTGGATTTGCTTGGCCCCTTCCTTCAAACCAGTTTGTTTGCATATTTTTGCCTGGTTGAAAACCATTTTTGTATTTTCTCTGGCCCAGTTCTTGGCAACAGAGTCTCCTCCGTGACTGGGGTTGAGAATAGTGAAGCAGAGAGAGCCTTTTGCCTGGCACGTGGACTTCCAGTCCACGGGACTCCAGGTGAAGGCACCTGCTTCAAAGGCAGCAAGAGGAGCCGGGGAGAGAGACAAGCAAATGCAGTGACAGGGAAAGAGACAGTCTAGGAGTGGCCTTGGTCGTGGTTGCCTGATTCAGCTTGCATATGCAGAAATGAAAAACAGCTTCCCATGGAAAACAGGGTCTCAATTTGAACATATGTGTAACAATAGACTGCTGTGCCAGGGGAGTGGGAGCCTGGTTAATTTTTCTCTGAGGGCCCCACAGAAGATGGTTTGGGAGCCAAAGCCCTGAGGGTTTATGGACCATGACAGATGGCCATCCCCATACGGTCCACAGGACCATTCTGTGTCCTCCTGGACCATGACAGATGGCCGTCACCATACAGTCCGCAGCACCGTGTCCTCCTGTGCCTCCTCATCTGTGGCCTCTTCCCCCTCTCTTTCCTTCCTTTTATTCCCAGGGCTGGTTCAGGGTTTATAATCATCAGGCTGACTATAAAGCACCCAAGTATTTTCTTTTCTCTTCAGGATTCAGAGAGTGTCCTCAGTTCTAAAGTCCCTTTCATAAGCAAATAATCACCTAATTTTACAGACTTTAGGCCCAGTTCTTATCTTTCTTAAGACTAGTCTTTTTAAATCCTCTTTAATTTGTTCCTCTAGTCTAGTTTCTGGCCTGCTTCTTCTGTTTCCCTTTCCACCTTTTGTCTCCAGCTCTTGGTTATTGAAACCATCAGCATTATTTTGACAACAGTAGTGCTATTTATTTGTTCCCCTATTTGTTAGGTGCTGGGTATTTTATTGTTGTTGTTCTTTTTAATTTTTTTTTTTTTGGTCAATTCCCTCTCCGTGACTCAGTTTCCTTATCTGTAAAATAGGGATAATAATAAAGAGCTATTGTAAGGATGAACAAGTTAATTTTTGTAAAACACTTAGAACAGTGCCTGTATGTAATAAGTGCCAAACATGTATGTAAAAGTAAGTAAAAATAGCTTACTGTTATTTATAGTAAGCTGTTGGCTTGGAAATACAAGTGGGGTCAGAGGTGAGTGGAAGAAGTGGAAAATGAGTAGAAAGCAGGAATATTTTGAAAGTCTACCTGATAAATACAGTTCATAGTAATTCTTACATAATTTTACTGGGCAAGAAGTTCAAAATTCAAGACATATATTAGTCTCTTTTCACACTGCTATAAATAACTACCTGAGACTGAATAATTTATGAAGAAAATAAGTTTAACTGACTCACAGTTATGCAGGCTTAAGAGGAAGCATGACTGGGAGGCCTCAGGATACTTACAATCGTGGTAGAAGGTGGAGGGGAAGCAAGCACATCTTACCATGGTGGAGCAGGAGAGAGAGAGAAAAGAGGGAAGTGCCGCACACTTTCAAACAATCAGGTCTCCCGAGAACTCACTCACTATCACAAGAACAGCAAGGGGAAAATCTGCCCCCATGATCCAATCACCTCCCAACAGGCCCCTCCTCCAATTCAACATGAGATTTGGGTGGAGACAGAAATCCAAACCATATCATATATTTTGGATTACTTTCCCAAAAGGCCATTATATTATATTTGTCCAAATTTTAGTAGCTTTCGCTCCTTTCACTTAACCTGGAGAGACTTGCCTTATAACTCAGACCCCTAAGTTTGGTGTTTCATTTTCTGGAGGTGCTCAATGTTATCATCAAGTTATGCACTGAAGTAAGTTTCTCCATATCTTTACTGCTGAATGTGTCTTCTGACCTACCAGTGTCTGAAGGGTCAACTGAGTCCCTAGAAGAATGTCTACTTTTCTGTATAAAGAGACCTTTCATTAGACCCTGGCAACATCTAAAATGTGCTCCTTTAATTCTTTCTTCATGCACATAATTTATGGTCTGTGTGCAGCTTCCCACACATCGGGTGCTTTCCAGTGACCTCCCATAGGCTAACTCTTCGTTTTTTGGAAGATGTTTTTCTCATCTACTCTGATGACCAGCTGCCCTCAGCCAGGTGGCCACAGAGGGCTGTTACCCAAACACCTGGCTATTTTGATCTGCCACACACATTTTTCCAGGACTTATAATAAGGCTTTTAAAAAAAATAGTGGTCAAATTTCCTTTTCATTTTCTCTTCTTAATGACTAAGCCCATTGCCTCTTTCTGTGTCTTTAGGAAAATCAGACCCACAAAGAACCACCCTCAACTCCAAACAAGAGCAGACTACTGAGCAGATTTGGGACACATGACATTCCAGCTATTCTTCCAGCTTAATTTAAGTGAAGTTGCTACATTATTTCTTGCTTATGATCTCCTATTAAATGAATATCATATTTTTCTCAGCAGCTGAATGTGCCAGCAATCCCTCAGGCAATGTCAACATGGAGCTTCCTGTATGTTCCAGGAATGGTGCCTAGGAGCTGGGGATAACCTAGACACAGCCTCTGCTCACCTGTAACTTAGAACACTATCTTTGGCCGCAAGATAACTTTGATAAGAGATAAACATAGAAATTGTTCTCTACTTCTAATATCCATTAGAAACGTCCCTTAAAAAAAAAAAAAACTCCTTTTCCTGAGACAAGCCTTAAGGTGTGGAGCACAACTGCAATATTTAGGTAAGGGTTGCCTTAGCCGTATGTATACTATGTGTATTTAATTATATTTGTGTCTAGCCTTAAAGGCAAACCTGATGCCTCAAATTTGGGAGGTATAATATTACATGCAACAGACTCCCAGTGTAAACTGATTTCAACTCTTTGAGTAACTCCAAATAGTAATTAAGAACTTAGGAGTTGGAGCCAGACGGTGTGGCTTTAAATCCTATTTTTGACAGTTACTGACTTTGGCAAACTTATTCCTTATTAACCTCTCTAATATCCCCTTTTTCCCTTCTCTCTGAAAGGCAATAGTACCACCTATGTTACAGAGTTATTATAAATATCTGATATTAATATATTTCAGATACAGTGCCCTGGCACTCACGGGGCAATCATTAGAGGTAGTCAATAACTGTGACTGTTGTCATCATTACAATGTGTGATAACATGTCATCTTACCCAAGTACACTTTGAATTGCACATGCTCTGAGAGTGGTGTGCAGGAGGAACTCAATGAATAAACTTACTTACTAGCTCAAGAAACTTTGCTGAGTTGCTACTTATTGTTAATAACCCTTGAGTGGCAAAATCTTTGTGTTTTTTTTTGTTAAGAAAAAAATGTGCATCACATGAAAAAGATAAATAGATATATATTTCAGTGAAGATATGATTTAGGAGAATGCCAGTCAACTGTACAGACATTTCTATATTTGTAATTTCAAGGAATATTTGAACATCTTAAACATATTTCTTGTAGATACTATTTTAATCATATTTTATTATTTTACAATCCTTGTAACAAAGAGGATAGATTTTGCTAAGTGAAAGTGAAACACTGTTTCCTACTAGATGAAGTGATAAGAGCAGGGGTCAGCTGGCAAACAAAAAAAGAGTAGCTGGCACTTCCTCTTCTTCCTCAGGGACTGATGACGAAAGGATCAAGGGCTCCACAAACAACTCAGGAGGGTGAGCCACAATTCTAGGAAACAGAACTGTCATTCTAATCTTCTAGCTGCTAAGGAACATTCAGTGGCTCTGTGAATGGCCAGCTTTGATAGCACAATCAAAATCCATAGCTGATCTTTAGAAGATCCACTAAGACATTTCCAGCGAGTCTTATGGTTGTCATGGAAGTGTACACTCAAATTGTCTTCAAGAGAACCTGTTGTGGGGAGCATGATTGACTTGTAAGTTCCAGCTGCCACCCTTTGAATTTACTACTCTAAAGCTATCTTTCCCCCAGACTACTCACAGCCAGCAAGTGAGCATGGTAAGAGGGCAGGTATGAGGGCCAGCCCATTGCTGCCCAGTGAGAATTCTTCTAAGAGATACTTTTGCTCAGGGAACACATCATCCTGGCTGAAACTTTCTCAGAGCTGTGCTACAGTCTGAGACCCTGTCTACCCAATTCTTCCTTCCCTCTCTCCTTTTACAGGTGTCAGACCTGCCTTGTAGTCTGAAGACTCTCCCTGCCTATAATTACTCCCTTTCTCTTTATTCTTCCCAGGTATTTCCTCCAAAAAAACTCTTATAGGTCTTATCCCATCTTGGCTGCTTCTTGGAGGATTTGAACTGGCATTCCTGTCCACCAGATGTGATTCACAAAGTAATTGGGTATATTAGCCTCTGAGTGGAAAATCAATTAGTAGTGACTGCCCAGAGCACCCTCTTGTGAAAATCTCTGAGACTAAGTCTGGGCCCCCAGGAAAGTGTGCTACAATTGATTATCAATGTCTGCAATGGGCTTAGAAGGGAATAGAAAGGCACACATGCCTTGTATTTGTCCATCATGAACACAGTAGTTAGGTCATGCTAGCCTAGGCTTTTAACCTTCCTATCAAGTTATTTAGTGTTGTTAAATTTTAAAATTCGAAATGTTGTAAAATTGCAGTTAAATTGCAGAACTCTTAGCTAAATATCAGTGCCTCTAAACTCGACATCTTTTTGAATGGCAAGCTAAAAGTAAAGCAAGGTACATGTTTTTACTCTTTTTTTAATTTTATTTTTAATTTTGTGGGTATATAGTAAGTGTATATATTTATGGGGTTCATGAGATATTTTCATACAGGCATACAATGTATAATAATCACATCAAGGTAAGTGGATATCCATCACCTCAAGCATTTATCATTTCTTTGTGTTATAAACAATCCAATTATATTCTGTTATTTTTGTTTACAGTATTTGCTCTGTTGTGCTATCAAATACTAGATCTTATTCATTCTATCTAATTATATATATTTTTGTACCCATTAACTATCCCCACTTCCCCCTTCCCCACCTCCACCCCCACCCCCACCACCCTTCCCAGCCTCTAGTAACCATCATCCTACTCTCTGTCTCCTTGAGTTCAACTATTTTAATTCTAACTCCCACAAATAAGTGGTAACCTGTGAAGTTTGTCTTTCTGTAACTTGCTTATTTCACTTAACATAAGGTCTTCCAGTTGTAACAAGGTACACATTTTAGCCTCAATTTCTTCATCTATAAATAAGATCTAAATATTTACTACTTCCCAGAATTATTGTGAAGTTTAAATGAAATTATATTAGGAAAGCTTGCAGCAAAATATTACGCTATTTTACAAGAACTCAGTAAGTGTTAATGTTTAATATTATGGTGCCACTTGACACATAAAACCATAATTTTAAGGTGCATATCTTTATATATTACACTGATTAATAGTTAATTCAAGACAGCGCAGCATGGCTTGCTCATGCATTTAACTAAGGAATATGACAAACTCAACCAAAGTAATAATATGGTTGGGTTTTTCTCCCTTCTTTCTGTAATATGGGCGTCTCACATGGATTGCACTGTTATTAGAAGTTCAGGTCATTTACATAGTGTATAAATAGCTAGATGATGAGACAAATAACATTCTTTGAATTCTGGAAGGACCGTCCTTTAAAAATAATTTGTCGTCAGTGAGAGAGACTGAAGCATAATACCGTAAATTAATAATGACCTCATGACACTTCCTATATACTCAATAAAGAGTTCTCATCAAATCAATACATAAGGGATGCTAATTTTAAGATGATGGGACTTCCTTTTGAAAAAAAAATAATAATGTATTTTTGGTCAGCTCCATCTGCTGGGTCTTCCAAGTCACGTCATTCCCCTCCAGGCGTATGTTCCCCAGGCCTCTCTCCCTGTCTGAGCCACCTCCAACACACACGGCTTCATACCAGATAAACTTGCTCACTATTTCACTAGGAAAATTAAGCCATCAATCTTCAACTCCCTAAGTTTCCTTCTCCCACCCCTATAAACTTGTCTATATCCAACACATCTCTGCCCCTTCTAGGTCCTCTTCCAGTTCAAGCTTAATCCTTCTTCATGAAGCTTGATCCCTTTCCTCTATGCTGGAAGCTTGTTCAGTTATCATTCCTTCTCCCTCCTTCTTTACATTGGATTTTTTATTATGCCAGGCCATATTCAACAGCATAGCACAGGCATGTTAAGTCATCTCTCACTTCAGAGAGCCCTCACCCGAACTACATCTCCTTCTTCCATCCTTCTTGTCATGGGACAGTTTCTCATAGTTTAAGTTCCACTCTTTTACTTCCAAGCTGTCCTTCAAACTCTACAGTCTGATTTCTGCTTTGAGCTCACTCTACTGAAGCCACCCTGATAAAGGGCACTACTGACCTAATGTGCAAATCTTATGAGTATTTTAAGTCTTTATCTTACAGGATTGCTTGGAAGCTCTCAACATTACTGACTGTTTCATTCTAGAAACTTCCTTTATTGGTTTCCATGCTATCCGTCTCTCTTTACATTCCTTCTACTACCATGCTTTCTTATTCCTCCTTTGGCAACCCTTCTTCCTCTGACCATTGTTTCCTAACTCATTGAGCAATTAGTTATTGAGCATCTGCTATGTGTCAAGCACCTTTCCAGGACTGAGGTGAAAGGTTGAACCAGACACAGACCTTACCAGCAGGAACTAAGCACAAAGGGAACATAGAGGCAAACAGTCCATTTTACTTAGTACAATAACTCTAAGAAAGCATCTAGAAGAGGTACTTTTCCTGGGGAAGGGATTGCTTTAGAGGTGGGTTTTGAAGGATCGGTAGGAGTCTACTAGGATCAGAGAGAACAAGGAATGTTCCTGGCAGAGCAACAGCTTGTGAAAAAGCCAGAGGTTAAGATAGAATGTGTATCCGGAGAATCTCAAGTGGGTTAGGTTGACTGGTGCATGTATTTCTGAGAGGAAATAGTGTTAAGATAAAAGGGATAACATGATAATAAAGATCCGCAAAAATATCTACTGTTACCCACATTTCTATACTCGGATCTCTTTCCAATTTCATCCATTCCCGTTGCTTTGCCTCCCCACTGGATGTTCATGACTCTTGAATCCATTAACACTGGTCAGGACCTCATTGCTGAGCACTGGGTCCATAGGTCCAGCAGCCAAAAATAAGTGCACTTCCATCTGGATGTCCCACAGGCACTTCTAATATGTTGGAAACAAAATTCATAATTTAGCTCTCTCCCTGCCTAAAAACAAAACAAAATGCCTTGTACTCTTTCTGTATTCCCTATTTTAATGCATAATACTGCATTCTATTACTAAAGCAAGAAACCTAGGAATCATCCCCGAATCGTTCCTTTATCTAATACAACATCCAGGTGGGGACTAAGGTTCCATAAAGTAAACTTCGTTGTATTTGTATTATGTCTCCTTCTTCTTTTCCTCCACTTTTGCTAATTTAGTTCAGATTCTGCCATCATTCCTCACCTGGACAGTGGCTCTTTACTAACTAATCTCCCTGCATGTAACTGGAGAGCATCCAGTCTACCCTCTATAAAATGCATTGAGTGATGGATCTAAAACAGTGCTTCCCCAACCTTAATGCTATCCAAGATGTAACCTGATTTGCCAAAACACGGGCCCCTTTCCTGGAGACTCTTACTCAGTAGCTCTGGGTGGGGTCTGATAATTTACACTTCTAATAAAGCTCCAAGGTGATGCTAACACAGCAAAAATACAAGCCACACCTGGAGCAGTGCTGATCTAAAACCATCTGATACAGTTACTCTACTGCTTAAATTCCTCAATCATTCTCTATTGCTTAGGGAACTTCAAAGGCTTCATTTTGCGATTTAAGACCTTCGATGATCTAGCCACTGCCAAGCCCTGCCACAGGGTTTCTCATCACGCCCCTGACCTGCATGTGCCATCTGCAGCTCTTCTGAGCTACCTGCAGCTTCCTAAATTTATTCTGCCTTTGTTCATGCTCATAAATCTCTTGCCAGCACCCCTGGCCTCACAGTCCTCTTCCTGGCAAATACCTAACCACCTTTTCAAACTCACCTCAAAAATAGCATCCACAGTGAATCCTCGTGCAAGCCACCTCCCTGCTCCATCCGCCCAAAACTGACAATCCTCTCTTTTGCAATTGCACTATTTAAGTACTTATATTTATTATGAATCCATAAACACTTCACTTTACACACTTACATAACTGTCCGCTATTTGTCTACTTGACAACTGCATGCTCTTCAAGGACAGGACTATGACTCATTCATATTTGTATCTGCAAACCCTGTAGTACCCTTTACCTAGCAGGTGCTCAATAAATGCTGAATGAGCAAATATCATCATAGTTACAATTACAATTCATTAGATATTTACAATATGAAAATTGTTGTGATAGACACTGTACATACATACACAGACATAATATATACATATAAATTCATTTAATTCTCACAACAACTCTAGGAGGTACATATATTATAATCCCAATGTTACAGGAAAGGAAACCAAGACTTATAGAATTTAAGAAACTTTTTTGCAAAGTCACATATCTAGTAAATCACATATCAGTAAGTAACAGAGCCATAAATTAAAGTCACGTCTGATTTTAGACTCCAATCACTTCACTACTGTGCCCTCCTAAAGTGTAACTATGTCATAAAATTAGCATGTTGCCAAGGATTCCACCTCAACACCACATTGTTCTATAGTTAAGAACCTCAAACATTAAGAAGAAATAACCTAAGTATAGAAGACTCCACTAAATAAATCCATAAAACACCATACCTGGCTTATGAAAATCTTCATTGCTTTTGTTCCTAGTGCGTTGTCACTTTTGATTTTAAAATAAGAAATTAAGAATACCAGCAATAAATATCTAGGTCTTTGCCCTGTATATTTTAAGAGGAAACAGTCCTTTGTAATAATAATAATTATTATTATTATGGCGTTATTCTACCCCAGCATTTGTCAAATAAAACTAGCTCTTGAAGATGCTCCAGGAAAAATAAATTGTCAAATAAATTTGGAAACCCTGTACCATAGAGTCTGCTTCTTGGAGATTCATAATGCATGTGTGTTAAAACCTTCTAGACATCCTGCAGTTTAGATTTGAAAAGCTACATATATTCCTCGAGTGTCCCAAACGTATTTGATCATAGAACCCTTGACAAAGAACTAATGTTCTGTAGAGCACACTCCAGAGAACACTGATTTTAGCCATGTCTTTTTGGCTTAAAATAAATGGCACAAAGCTGCACAGCCGACATTTTTTGCCATGTCCATATACCTTGAACTGAGCCAGTTCCACTCAGGGGATCCTTAGTCATGAGCTCATTACTTTCATTGTCTTTGACCACCAGGAGCTGTATTTTTACTATTTTACTTGCAGAGCTTTGAGACTTTGTATCATAATTTTTTTCACGTTAGAGAGAAATTTTATTGGGTTCTTAATATATGGATCACAAAAGGATATACAATTCTTAAAAGAGTTGGTGTAAAAGTTAAAGTGGATGAGAATATAATAAAGGGTAAAATTAGCATTATGGTCTTTAGAGCTATGTCCCAAATTTAGCTCTAACTTTCCAACGGCTAAAGCAAAAAGGGAAAAAATGTTACAAAGACGCATCATGTCCTTAAAAGGAAGATAAACCAACCACTCAGTAGTAACATGCGTTTTCCTGGTACTGAGACATCAGAGCAATAACTTGTGGGACATTATGGGGTGTGGTGGACAAAGCCATTAAACACATCCTACAGTAAAATCAATTGCAAAGGATGCTCAGCTGTTGTTTAGGAAAACCTGTGCTGTGAACCAAGAGCAGTTCAAACTGAAGTGCAGTTAAGCTAAAGCACTTCTATAAGGAATGAGGTAGACAGTTCTCTGATGGTCTTCTTAATCCAAGGGAAAAACTTTTCTATCTAGAGGAGTGTGTGGACTGTAACATCTGCAAATGCTCCTTCATAACTATTTCTTGCGACAAAGATTTTGATAGGGATTGGATGGAAGGAAATCAGGGACTGGAGGTTAGATCATCAGTGTTGTTGGTTAAGAGCAGATCCATATGCTTTGGTATTGAACAGTGGTCTGGGGGAGTGGTGAGAATAACAGCCAGCTGTAAGAAATATCGGTTCACCTTTCTTAGTCTGTTTGTGCTGCTATAATAAAATATACTAAGCTGAGTAGCTTATAAACAACAGAAATTTCTTTCTTCCAGGTTTGGAGATTGAAAAGTCCAAGATCAAAATGCAGGCAGGTTCAACAACCAGTGAGGACCATATAAGGCACCTTCTCACTATGTCCTCACTTGGTGGAAGGGGCTAGTAGGCTCTCTGGGTTCCCTTTTATAAAGGTACTAATCCCATTCATGGAGGTGGAAACAGTTCCCAAAGGCCCCACCTCCAACTCACCTTGGTGGTTAGTATTTCAACATATGAATTTTGGGGGCATACAAACACTCAGACCATAGCATCAGCCATATGGAATATGAATCTATTTGAAAATATTCCAGATTCCAAGATACCTGCAGGAGTAGAGGGAGGAGAGTTCCACACAGCTTGCAGGCCAACATGTGCTGGGCCAACTTGTTCCCTTGGCAGCCTGTGAGTCAGCTGCACAATCATGCTTGCTGCTCACCACTCATTTCTGGCTCCATCGAACAACATTTCATTGGCTTTCCAGTGTCTTTTCTGTGCACCGTGTTTGACTAAACTCTTTGATCTAGACCAGCACAACTAAACATCTCTGACAGTGGCATCGTTGGCAATGTATAACATGAAACCAGGCAGAAGAAAATAATAGCGGCCTATTTTCCAGCCCTTTAAAGTTCACTCTGAGAAATTCATGTTTCATGGAACTCTGGCAGTCTCATTTCCTCATCAGCCAACCTAAGCCATGCTCAGGTAAAGTTGCTATGGCTTTTTCCATATAACATTTAAGGCAAAGCTATGAGGAATAAAACTGCACCATAAATAATTTGGAAATTTCTTAATGGACAATTTCCAGGGCACAATCTAAGACCTAATATGCTTAACAAATCACTTAAAAGTGAAATAATTGAGTCTTAGAAACCAAATAGATCAGCCTTATAGACTTTTTTAACTTACATAAATTATTTTTTAAGTTGTCTTACCTCTTTTCTATGTCCCTATCAACTTTGTTCTCAAAGCAAGCAAATAGGAATTAATACAAAATGTAAAGACTGCTATGGTTTGAATGTAAAATTCAAAAACTCATGTGTTAGAAACTTAATCCCCAATGCAATGGTGTTGGTAGATGGAACATAATGAGAGGTGTTAGGTCACGAGGCCTCTGCCCTCATGAATGGATTAATGCTGCTATAAAAAAGGCTCGTGGGAGTGGGATCCCCCCTTTCTGTTCATCTGCTCTTCTGCCATGTAAGGACATGTTGTTCCTCCCCTCTGGAAGATCTACCATTCAAAGCACCATTTTAGAAGCCGACAGACCAGGCCCTAATCTGGCAGTGCCTTGGTCTTGGACTTCCCAGCCCCCAGAAGTGTAAGAAATAAATTTCTATTCTTTACAAATGACCCCATTTCAGGTATGGTATTCTATTATAGCAGCACAAAACAGACTACAACAAAGACTAAATCTGAGCAGTTAGGTAACAACATTTCACTGAGAGAGAACTTTACAGAGATTTTAAAACTTTCCATGACAACTGTCATCCAAGATTTCAATTTGTTCCAGTCATCAATCTTGCTTTTAGTGACTTTGTTGCTTGTGGAACTGAAAGGTAGAGCCTCCTACTCTCTTCCCTCTGTGCTGGAAGGCAAAACTCTCTAAATGTATTATATATATAAATGTCATATCTTAGGACATTTATGAGGGATTCAAGCATAAAGCTTTGATGAACAGAAAATTGATCCTATGATATACATGAAAAGGCTAATAAAAGGCCCAGTATATCAGCAAATAAAAGTTTACTATGTTGCTGAGAATATGTTAATGTCACATTCTTATTAAAAGAACAGTTATAAGTGCAACATGACTCATTTGAAATTTGGTAGCATTGAGGGAGAATTTATTATTCAGAGAAGTAATCACATCTGTGTTGCTTTTTCTTCAGCTCCTAGAGATTTGACATTAAAAATGAAAGAAAAGCCAGACTCTCCATTCCCTTTATTTAAGTAAGCATGCACAAAAATAACCAAATAAGAAAACACTCTTTCCTATGGGGAAAGCTTTTCATAATTAATCATGATTAAGCAGATCTTCTGCAACTTCAGTCCTTGCTGGTCACTCCTCATAGAGATTTCACTTTATTTTTCATAGTAAATTGTGATAAAAAGGAACCTTTGCCTTTTTTTAAAACCATCAATTTCTTTTACCCACACTTTACTGAAATAATCACTTCTCATGGCAACGATCTTTTCTTCACCTGGAACTGCTTCATCTCCAAAATCTTAAACTCCAAACTTTTACTTTCTAACCACAAAATGCTATCTCACCAGTTCTCAAATCCCTAAATCAGAATCCTTTGCTTTTAAATGTCATTCAGATTTCATGTGGCTTGACTTCTCACTTTTCTCCTCTTAGCATCATCTCGTTCTTCCAGGATAAGCCAACAAGTCATTACTTCAACTCCTCACCAGCTGGAATATTTAATTTCTTCACCCACTTAACCTTTTTGCTTGTATCTATTTTTCAAATTCTTTAACCCTTTCTCCACCTACTTTCTGTGTTCCTCTCCCCAGACCATGGATCACCTTTGAAAAAGTTGATACTATCATATCAAGTGCTACCACTAAGAGTTCGTGGTTTTGAAGTTCTGCCAGACCACCTATCAATTTCTTGTCCTGAGCTGGTGAATTTCCTCTTGTATTTCACAAAGGGGATATTTTAATATTTCAACCCTATCTCAGAGCCCCTTAGCCCACTCCTTATTTGGTGCTCTCAGGAGATGAGTTTGCCTCTGACATCACAGAAAAATAGAGACAATCCATAATTAATCTTCTCAACTTCCTCCTCCTCGCCATCACCAAATTTATCCATAGTCATGCTTCTTTTTAACCTCATTCCCTGTAATCACTGAGGACTAGGCATTCTCTTTCCATGCATCAATATTTATCTTTTCCCATATTCTTTGGGGCTTCTCCATGCATTTTCTTCCTGTATTTTAACCTTTTGTTTTCAATAGCTCCTTCTTCTCAACCTCCAAATTTTCTCATTGCTTTCCAATTAGTAAAAACCTTCCTTTAATTCAATGTCTTCCTCTGGCCAATTTCCCTAGCTCTCTTCTCTTCTCCTGAGCAACCCCTAGAAAGAATAATCCATAGGCACATCTCTATTTCTTTATCACACGTTCACTTCTCAATTCACTTAAAACTCTTCTAGCACTTTAACCACTTTCCTGAAACTGTCTTTCTGAGGTCAACCAAGGGCCTCTTTATCGAACAGTCTAATGACATTTCTCAGTCCTAATCTCATGGGACCTTGCTGCACCCAGTGTCACAGCAGTTTGCATCTCCTTCCTTGTGAAACTGTCTTTTAGATTCTGTTCATTACTGAGAGTAAATATTACCTTTTGGCTAGTATTTCTCAGACCTGCTTCTTCACTGTTCTCGTTGGATGGGGTTGGAAAGAACCCATTCTAATCATATTTTCTTCTACATTCCAGGTGAGGGGAGACTCTTTAGGCTTATTTGCAGTTCATTTCCTATCACTCTCACCAAACTGGTAGGTAAATATGTAGCAGAGCTGTGTATTAGGATTTGGTCTATTCCATCCTTCCCCTTTCCTCAAGATACATCCTCATTTGCATGCCTCACAATAATGCCTGAAGAACACATTTTTCAATGAGCTAGTTTGTAAGCCTGGGGCCTTCATTTAGCATTATACAAAGGTCCAAAATTTTAAAAACACCATAGAGTGTTTTGCACATTTACAGAAAAATAAAAGATAATTATGTGGATGTCATTTTCTTAGCAATCTGAATAATGAATTTATTTTATTTAAATGCATTAATAGTAGGCGTGTATTTACAAAACACTTGAAAGTCTATGTCATTAGCTCCTGAGGATCTAGCTCCAGGGAAGTGCTGCCAGAAAGGTTCCATTCAGAAATCAAAGTGTAGCCCTTTTGCTTTGTGTATGGAGCCTTCCCCTTTGTAACCACCAGGCTCACTGCCAACAGGGTGATGGATTCACAGCTCTTCTCCTTTCCTTCCCAAGCAGCAGCCTCTCTGACAAGAACCCTCTTTGCTCCTGAGCAGCCTATTTGAGGGCAAGCCCTTGCCTGTGGCACTGTAACAACAGCGAGGAGAGCCACATCTTAGAGCTAGGAATCCCCAAAGCCTTTTTCCTGCTCCAGCCCCCCAAAGGGAGATTTATCCACATAATGAAAACTACCTCGAATGTTAAGGAAAGATGTTAGCAATATTTTCTACATTTTCTCTGAGATTACCAAAGTATGAATGTATTGACTTCAAGGGGATAATGTGAGAAAACAAAGTGGCAGAATCAACAGAAACCCATTCTTCCTTCACAATAACACTTTATTTTTCTGAAATGATTAGGCAAGGTAGAAATGCACTAGTATTCTAGAAATATGGAGTGACCTTAAAGTGAAATGTTTAAAAGCTGCCCTTTTGAATATCTGTGAACTGTATTCTGAGCTGTTGATTTTTATTTTCCTTTTTTAATCCACTTGTGCCCAATATGAATTTGAAAAAAAAAAAAAAAGCTATTTTTTCAGTGCTACTATAAATCATCAGACCTGGAACCACAAGCATAGATTTTTTTTTTTTTTTTCTAACACAAGTCCCCTCTCCCCCACCAAGGGCATGGTACAGGAATACATTCTTGCAGCCTGGATGGTGGGGAATTCTTATCCTTACACCAAGACTGCTGACATAGCAATGAAGAGATGAGCGCTCACAGAAAAATATGACAGAGAAGGACAATAAGACAGAGAAAGACAACCTTTGCCACACATAATTTGCATGAGCAGCTCCTGAGGGGATGGTAGGCCCTGGAAAATGTGTGGAAAGAACAAGCTGTTTGTTTGCCATAAGGAACAGAGGTGCAGAAGCCCAGACATGTGCCAAGGCAGTCTGTTGTAAAAGGGCCCTTTCTGTCCCAAACCCAGCAGCTTTTCCCAAAGGCACTCTTCAACCCCCAACATGGTGGCACATTCCAAGGGCAACAGATCTCCCAGGCCAGCTCAGCCTTACTAAGGGCAGTGGGATCTGACTAGGCCCAGAAAGAACTCTCTCTAGTAAAGAAGATTGCCATAGAGGCAGTGAGAAGGATGTATGTGTGTAAGTAACCACCATCAAGAGGTTATGTGCTATAGGAAGATAAGCTTTTGCAGAACAGAAAGGAGAAGTGCTTTCTAGAGTTCTTACTATTTTTAGTGTCACAGAAAAATATTTACTGTGTTCAATCACCACATCTATTGAAGGCAATTTATGTTCATTAAAAAACAAGCTCATCATTTAAAATTGTAATGAGAGATATCACAACTATGCATGCAGATGTGATTGCACAGAAGTCTGCCAGATTTGGAACCATCCAAACCCTCCCTGCCTTATCCTAGGGATCTCCCAGGATATTTACAGCTGTGTGGAGCCCTTTTTCAGCATCCTTCAGCTCGTGGGACATGAGCCTAGTGATCATTTGCAAATACAAAGCTCTAGTAGACAGGACAGCACTGTTACATGCTTTAGTGCTGTGCCATTTGAGTACTTCTCATTTGGGGAGTGGGAAAATGGAAAACAGGGCAGGTTTCATTACACAGCTTTTCATTTGTCTGATCATTGCTTAATGTATACTGTACACTCTTGGTGTTCCATCCAAATTAGGCCCTCATGGAAAGAATGATGAAGTCTCTATTATTGAAAGAAACGGATATAAGCAGGTAAAGCTCAACTTATTTACAACCAAGGTATCTCTGTAAATTCTACACAAACACACCACATGGATTCTAGTAGTCCCTCAGCATCTATAGGGGATTGGCTCCAGTACCCCACAGATAACAAAATCTGCAGATACTCAAGTCCCTCATATAAAATGAAGTAGCATTTGCATATAACCTATGCACATCCCCCTGCATACACTAAATAATCTCTAGATTACTTATAATACCTAATACAATGTAAATGCCATGTAAATAGTTGTTATACTGTATTGGTTTTTATTTGGATTATTTTTATTTTTATTGTTCTATTGTATTGATTGATTGACCGAATATCTTCCATCCTTACTTGGTTGAATCCTCGGATGTGGAACCCACAGATACAGAGGGCTGACTGTATTTTTAAAAGTTCCACATGACCCTGAAATTCAGGATTGGTTCTGCTCCTCTCCAGGCATCATTACCTGGATGACTATAGACTCTATTCTAAAAGGAAATGGAAAGTAAATTCACAATCATTAAGCAGAAAACCATATCAATATGTAATTAAGATGGGGTTTCTCAACCTCGGCCCTATTAATACTTTGGGGGCTGGATAACTCTTGATTGTGGGGGCTGTCCTATGCCTTGTAACATCCCTGGCTTCTACACACTAGATGCCAATAGCACACCCCCATACCCAAGTTGTGACAACCCCAAATGTCTCTAGATGTTGTCACATGTACCCTGGGAGCAAAATCACCCCTGCTGGAACAACTGGCTTAAGAAGACTACTGGGGACTTTTAGGAAACTCTTTGTTTTTTAACATGGGGGACCTCTAGCCAGGTTTCACAACATAGCTAACAGCTTCAAACAAAAATGCAAAACTATTCCTTTCTTTCATGTAACTACAGTCCTATGTCAGCCTATTTCATTCCATCTAATGTTCCTCCCTGCCTTTCCTTCTTACATTTACTTAACATTTTACAGACACAGCACACCATTTAAGCCCTGAGAATACAAAAGTAAATAAAATACAGTTCCTTCATCAAAGGAGTTCAAAATTTTGAGGAAGAAACAGACTTGTAAACAAATAAATACAGGAAAGCCCAAATGCCCTGCCAAACTTACTACATTATCATTCCTCCATATCCCCTCCCTTTTGGTCCCCACCTAAAGTTCTGACTATTCAGAGGTTTTGAAGATTCAGCATTCCAGCATTCTGTCCATCCATCATCCATGATTTTATTTCTCAGCATATGGAATATGGAATTGGCATTGGCATTTATGCAAATTTCACATGTATAGTCACGGGTAGATTTTGACCCACCTGTACTCTGTACAGCTGTGCTCTACTCAGGCATGTGGGTATAAAAAAGAATCCAAGAAGTAGAATCCAAGAAGAAGGATAAAAAGATCAGATTTTAATTTTGCTTTATTAGAATTCTTCAGGGCACAGGCCTGGGCTCTTTTTTATTCCATATCTCTACCTTTTCCCGTATGATTTCATGGGTTTAAATAATGGATATTGAGGTTGACTTCCCAAATTGGTTGTACTCCAGGTACAAAATACATTATCTAAGTCAATAATGGAAATCCTATTATCATTGTCAGTGACTGGTTCAGGGATGGTCAGGCCTAAGCCAATTTGGGTCAATAAGACATAAGCAAAGGTTTGCTGGGGGTTTCTGGAAAATAGGCTTTTTTTGTTCTTAAAGGAGAGCCATAGTTAGCCAGTCCACTCCCTTACTCCTCCTCTTCTTCTCCCTCCCTTTCGATATGAATGAGGAAGCCCGCAGTTAGCCTGTTTTTTCTTTAGAGAAAGCAATAGTTAACCAGTCTCTCTCTCTCTCTGTTTTTCTTCCTCCTCCTCCTTCTCTTCTCTCTCCCTTCCAATATGAATGAGGAAACCTGTAGCTCTGACTTCAGCTATGAAACAACAAACTTTGGGATACAGAAGACACTACTGCAGTACAATGAAGAGAAGGGAACATTTAGGTCTTTGAAGATCTCATTGAAGTACTGGATGAGGCTGGGCACAGTGGCTCACACCTGTAATCCTAGCACTTTGGGAGGCCGAGGCAGGCAAATCACTTGAGGTCAGGAGTTTGAGACAAGGCTGGCCAACATGGTGAAACCCTGTCTCTACTAAAAATCCAAAAATTAGCCTGATGTGGTGGTGGGCACCTGTAATCCCAGCTACTCGAGAGGCTGAGGCAGGAGAATCGCTTGAACCTGGGTGGCAGAGGTTGCAGTGAGCCCAGATCACACCACTGCACTCCAGCCTGGGCAACAGATCGAAACTCTGTCTCAAAAAAAAAAAAAAAAGAAGTACTGGATAAACCCATCCAGAAGCTTATGTATGTCCAGGTTTCCTCTTATGTGAAATAATAAATGCCATTATCATTTAACCTAGTTTAATTTGGGTTTCCTGTTACATGTAGCAGGAAATAACCTAACTGATACAATTACTTATATGCATATAACCAAAATTTTTATCTCAGCCATAACTTCCGCCTTATAATCCAGATTTAGATATCTGTCTACTTGACATCTCCACCTGATTATATAATGTTCAGACAAAACTTACTTATCCAAAAAAGAGCTCCTGATTGCCCCTTTTCCTCCCAAATCTGCTTCTCTCCTGGGCTTCCCCACCTCTGTAAATGTTACCATATGCTCAAGCCAAGCCACAGGGGTTGTCCTCAACCTATCCTCTTCCTCTCAGCCATATCCAAGCTACCCACCACTTCTGTATAGCCTACCTACAAAAATAAAAAACCCAAATCTTCACACTCTTTTTCTCTCTACTCCTAACTTCTAGGCCAAACTACCACATTCTCTCACTTGGACTCATGCACTGGCCTCCAAACCAGCCTCCTGCTTCCCCTCTAGTCCCTCCTGTAATCTCCTCAGAGCAGCTAGAGTAATTATGTCAAACCGCAAATCAGATCATTCGCTTTCCTGCATAAAACCCCCCAAGCAACTCTCACCAAACCTAGAACAAGACTTAAATCTTAGGTCTGGGCCTAAAAGGTCCTCGGTGCTCAGCACCCTGGCTGACTCTGCAGCTGCCTGCCTGGCCCTCTCCATGCTCGGCTGCATATCCCTCAGGCCAGGCTCATTCCCACCTCAGGGTGCCACACTTGTTTTCCTCTCCGCCAGGGACTCCCGTCCTTCCAAAACTTTCTTTGGTTGGTTTCTCCCATTATTTGTGTCTCAAATTGAGCATCACTTCCTCACGGAGGCCTTCATGGGCCAACCCAGTCATTATCACATGGTCTAGTCTTAACTCCTTCACTTATTGATGTGGTCTTTGTTACTTTCTTACTTATCCAGCTAGCTGTGCTTACTAGACGACAAGCCCCAGGAGGGCAGGGTCATGCCAGCCTTGTTCACTGCTGTGTTACCACTTCCTAGAACACTGCTTACCACAGGGGAGGCGATAAGTAAATATTTGTTAACTTGGTTGAATGAATGGATGAATGGATCTAAGGGTGGACAGATGGCTTATGGAGAAGTACTCTTTGGCTTTATTAACTGTTTAATTTTGCTGAAAAGACATTTACAAAAACCACCTTGGAAGCATATACACAATGAAGCTGACTCTCTGAGTTGGAAGACCCACTAGGATTCTACTAGTCAGGGGCCATGAACAAAACAAATAACCTTCCTGTGTCTATTTCTCATCTGTGAACTGAATTATTAATAGTATCTACTTCACATAATTACTATGAGAACTAAATGAAATAATATTTCAAAGGGCCTTAGAGCAAGGTCTAGCACACAATGAACACTGTCTAGGTTTCACTATTATTTCATATTCTCTGATAATTATTCCAGAGCCCCTCTCCAGAGCAGGAGTGGGTAAATTATGGCCCAGGTGTCAAATCTGGTCCTCCACCTGTTTTTGTAAATAAAATTTTATTGGAATTCAGTCACACTCATTCATTTATAGATTTTTCGTGGCTATTTTTACTTGATAATAGCAAAGTTGATAGGCTGGGGGTGGTGGTGCATGCCTAGTCCCAGCTACTTGGGAGGCTGAGGTGGAAGAATCACTTGAGCCCTGGCCAACATAGTGAAACCTTATCTCAACAAAACAACAACAACAACAAAAAAACAAACAAACAAACAAAAAAAGCAGAGTGTTTCATTCATTGCAACAGAAAGGCAATAATAGTACTTTAAACTTAAAATATAGGCCGGGTGCGGTGGCTCACACCTGTAATCCCAGCACTTTGGGAGGCTGAGGCGGGTGTATCACATGAGGTCAGGAGTTCGAGACCAGCCTGACCGATGTGGAGATATCCCTTATCTACTAAAAATACAAAATTAGCTGGGCATGGTGGCACATGTCTGTAATCCCAGCTACTCAGGAGGCTGAGGCAGGAGAATTGCTTAAACCCAGGAGGCGGAGGTTGCAGTGAGCCAAGATCACGCCATTGCACTCCAGCCTGGGCAACAAGAGCGAAACTCTGTATCAAAAAAAAAAAACCTTAAAATGTGTACTATGTGTCACTTTACAGAAAATGTTTGCCAACCATTGTTTTACAGTATATCCCAAAGCTTTATATAGATGTATGTATAAAGAGAGCAGGGATGGCTCTTTATGTCTAGCTGAATTTATAAAAGAAAAAAAAACACCTACATATAGCTCTTAGCATCTGGACCCTGGTTTGATCTCTTAGGCCTCAAGTTGTCTGATGTTATGTAAAAGCAAAAGGCAAAGCTGTCAGTGCCAAGGACAAGGTGAGCTGCTACATCTACACAAGATTGATCAGGAAGTCACCTGAACACAGAGGAACACCGCTGATGGTTGTGTTAACTTTCCTAGCAATCCCTTTTTTAATTGACAGAATCTCAGTAATTACTTATGGTCCACTGGTGGAACAATCCATAGAAAAAGGATTTACAAAGAATTTCTTAAGCTTAAAAACAAAATAGTTACACAGATATTAACTAATCAAAGCCCTCAACATCAGCATCTAAGCTATGTCTCCAATTTCTTCTGGTGCACACTGTAGGCTGGCTTACATAAAACGCAGCTTTATTTCAACTTTATTCTCCTTTGCCTGCCTCTGCTATAGAGATTGGAAAACAAACAACACAATATAATTTTCCAGCATCTCTTTGAATAAGAGATATTTATATGTCACAACTCTGGACAAAAAGATGCAAAGAAAAGCTGTTGGCATCACCTTTCCAATTTTTATCTTTTTGCCCTGAATAGACGCAGTATCTCAAGCTGCCACAACTATTGTGATCACAAGAGAACAGAGACATCAGTGAGAATCATTTTGAGTCTTTAATCTTAACCAACACAAGCAGTGCCTACCTCTGCCCTGGACTTGATGTGCAAAGAATAAACCACTCTTTATCTGCTGTTGGTGTTATCTCTTACTTACCTCTAACAAAAATCCTTCCTAAATGATGTATTCCCCAAACAGCAAACTGGGGAACTAGGGAAAGGCAACATGTTTTAAGAGAAAGGGTGCAGGACTAGACATGAAAAGATCTGGACTCAAATTCTGACCCTTTCATTTATCAACAAGAGGACTTAACGGCATTAACATCATTTGCCTCCTCTGTAATTCCAAGTGTTTACCTACCTCTGAGGGTTATTTAAGGCTCAAGTTAGGAAACAAATGTGAACATGCTCACAGATAAACTACAAAGCTTATGTAGAACTATGAGTAAAGATATGCCACCAAGAAAAATGATTTCAATTTTTAATCACACATTTATAATACTCCATTGTGAGGAAATAGAGTTTATTTTATTTTCTCTTTTTTGGTAGTGTATTGGGTCATCAACAGGCAAAGCTGGTCAGAGAAGCTAAACATCCCTATTAGCCAAAAGAAAAGAAATGGAAGTCTACCAGTTATGTTGGCTCACACCTGTAATCCCAGCACTTTGGGAGGCCGAGGCAGGTAGATCATCTGGGGTCAGGAGTTCAAGACCAGCCTGGCCAACATGGCGAAACTCCGTCTCTACTAAAAATACGAAAATTAGCTGGGCGTGGTGGCACATGCCTATAATCCCAGCTACTCAGGAGGCTGAGGCAGGAGAATCATTTGAACCCGGGAGGCGGAAGTTGCAGTGAGCCGAGATCGTGCCACTGCACTCCCGCCTGGGTGACAGAGAAAGACTCTGTCACAAAAAAAAAAAAAAAAAAGAAACAGATGTCTAAATAAGGGTTAATCATGCCCGCCCAGTACTTGAAACTTTGCCTGCTTTGAGTTAGACTGCGGTCTGGATTCTGCCTAGTGCTGAATCTGCTTCTCCATTTTTAAGACATAAAATGTTAGTGTTTTAATGTATGAAAAAGTACATTAATAAATATAGCATTAATGTTGCAATAAAGAATTATGTAACATTTCCCCAATTCTCATAGAAAATATCTGCTTAAACGGAAAAAACAAAACAAAACAACATGTAGACTTCAGGCTGTGTTTAAAGAAAACACTGTTTTCTCACACTGATTTTAGGGGGATATACATACCCAATCACCAGATGTCGAAAACAAAAATCTGTTCTTAACCCATCTTCTATGTGCTAATTCCTGTAATTTCTGATTTATATACTTTAGCTATACTAACTTTAACATGCCAAATATTTTCATATTTGAATATCTAAGTACCTATATAGTAACAAACCAGCTTATGAAATAGAATAAGAACCTCTTTAAGTTTCCCTGTATACTCTTTCTCAACCCATCTCCCTCCCTCCTCATCAGAGCGAACTCCATCTTGAATTTTTGTTAATCATTCCTTTGCTTTTAAGGGGGCTTTTTACCACAAAGAGGGGTGTGTGTGTGTGTTTGTGTGTGTGTGTATGCATCTGTCCCTAAATGAAATTGTTTAGCTTTGCTTTTGAGCTTTACTTACATAGAAGCTCATAGTATAAATGCCTAAATTATGTTTTTGATAATCATCCATGTTGATACATGTAAGTATATTTCACTTACCTCTACTGCTATATAGTAGTTTGTTAATTATAAAATTTATGTATTTATTCTTCTGTTGATTGACATTTGGGTTCTTTTCAAATTTTTGCTGCTATGAATTGTTGCCATGTTGCCATGAATATTCTTACACTTTTCTCCTGATATTTAGGTACAAGTTTCTTTGTGTGTATACCTGAAAATGGAACTGTTATGTCATCATCTTCAATCTTACTTAGAAATGCCTAAATATTTTCCAAAGCATTTATAGCAATTTATATCCTTCCCATCAACAGTATGTGAGTTCCCATTTCTTCACATCCTTGCCAAAAATTGGTATCCTCAGATCTGTTAGTTATTGCTGATATTGTGGATGTGAAATGGTATCTTGTTGCTTTTCTGGAAGACACCAGAAACCCCCTGACCTCTGCAGGGACTGCTTCTTTGCCTCCTTGAGGTCTTCGCTTGTATCACTTTCTCAGTGAGATCTTTCCTAACAATCCAATTTAAAATTGCAGCCCCTAGATATTTCTAATCCCCTTTCTCACTTTACTTTTCCTACAGCTCTTATCACCTTTGGACAGTGTTATGGGATGAATTATGTCCCCCCAGCCCCCAAATTCACATACTGAAGTCCTAACCCTTCATCATTCAGAATGTGACTGTACTTACAGATAAGTTTTTTTTAAAGGTAATTAGGTAAAAATGAGGCCTTAATTCAATTGACTGATGTCCTTATAAGAAGACATTTGGACATAGAGACACACAGAGGAAAATCATGTGAAGACACAGAAAGAAAATGACCATCTCACAAGCAGAAAGGCCTCAGAAGAAACCAACCCTGCCAATACCTTCACCTTAGACTTAGCCTCCAGAACCATGGGGAAATAAATTTCTGTTGTTTAAGCTACCAATTCTCTAGTACTTTATCATGGAGGCCCTAAAAACAAATACAGACATGTCGTGTTTTTAATTATTTGTTTATTAGTTAGAAAAATACAAACATAAACCACAGTTGATTCATTCCTGCCCCAGTGGAGAATACAGAGCAACAATATTGGGCATCTTCATCTTACTGTTGATAGTAAAATGAATACCCTCAACTTTTTAGTTATATATATTTAATATCTGATCATTTCAGTGCTGTAGTTTTTACAGATTTGCTTCTACAGTTCTTCGTTACTGTTATTTCTCATAGTGGCTTATTTTCTCAGTCTATAAGGACTTTTTAAATTATGAATGAGTTCATCTTACTTGGAACATCATCTGTGGGAATGTTTGAGGTCCTGTTTAAAGTGCATACCTTCATGGAGAATTCATTTTGCTTCCACTTGCCACCCGGAGGCCATACCAGCCAGGGCCATCTTACACTAAATACACAGTTTGGAGAGTTTTGGCACCTCCAGCATAGTGTGTATTCAAGTCCCAATCCTATGTGAATGGTGGTTTGTGCTAAGGAATTATCAGAGGAGGCAATTTTTATTTTTTTGTTCCAAACTCGAGCCGAAACTAAAGTAGGTGCATATTCACATCATCTCTGGGGCAGAAAATTTTCTGCCACATCCACTAAGCATATTGCCTTTTGGGGGTTGTGGGTTTACATTCAAACCCTGATCTGGCCTTCCAACCTGCTTGGGCCCCTAGGCTGTTTCCCACTTCCATGTATATGTGGCCTATTAAAACCCAAGCTTTGGACCACCTGTGATCAGCAGATACTTCAGATCAAGGCCAGCTTTGAAACTTGGCTTAATTGTATGCAGTCAAACTTCTGTATCACACCTTAATCCGAAGAATTCCATTATTCTGCCTCCCACTCAATTACATATATAATATAAATGCATATAAGTTTTAATATCTTATTTCAGTATTTTAAAATGTGTTTCAGGAAAGTTTTTTTCTGATAATCTAATCTACCCTATCACCAGAATTTTTTTATGGCCATTAAATGTTTAGTTTTCAAAATATTTTATATATATCTTGAAACAGAAAAGAGAAATGTGCTCTAGGTCACCCTTCAGCTCCATGAGAAACCAGTCCTCACACTTTGCTGAGCCACTCTTGTGTAACATGCATGCCCTTGGGAAGTTTGCTGGGGCCCATGGGCATTACAACCAATCTTAACAGAGATGGAAAAAAAAAAGTCCATAATGTCTACTGGAGTGTTAAGGGCACAGAAAAAACAAGAGCTCTACACTAAAACCCTATGATGAGACAACTTAGGCCAAGAGAGCCAAATAAAGCCCCTCTTAGATCCTAAGAAAACTATTTCTATGTATAGAAAAGAATAGAAAAAGGTCATAGATTGAAGTGGTTTGAGGTAGTTTTTGAAGAGACCAAATACTTTTTTTCCACAGTTCATGAGGAGTTGTAAAATTATAGAACTGTTTGGATTTAAAACGATATACAGACTTTCTCCGACAGTAAGAAGAACTACACAAAGATGTATAGACGCATCAAGTGGTAACAATTTAATTCAAAATGATACCACTCACATTAATTATGGGAAAGAACTGATTAGAAATTTTACCAATTGATCTGCAAATGCTGCCTAGCTGAAATGTTCCTTGTTACAGTGTCCACAATTATGTTTTGCTGCTTTAGAAAAGCGGTTGCAGCCAATGCACTTGCAAACATCTTCACATGGACTAATATACATGTAATCAGATTATGTGACTTCATTTCTTTTGTCAAATTTTAAAATACGTCTCTCAAGCACCCACCACCCACTCTAGAAGTTTACTAAAAATTCATATTCCAAATGCCTTGCATCAAGAAGTCAAAAACTCTGCTCAGCCCACTCAGCCCACTAGTCATTTTCATTCCTCAGTTGATGTTGCTCTAGTGGTAGCCACACAACATGGCTATTCAGAATGCTCCCAGCCCACAGGGCCCTTCCCCATTGTTTGAGGGCTATGCCAGCTAGCTCAGATCCTTGCACAGGCCAAGCCGGTTTTCCCAAGGAATGAGATTCTGCTCCATTCAGCTTGACCCCTTGAAGCCCAGGTTCCTTGTTCTTTAGCTATAGTAACACAACCAGCCATTGTTCCTAAAACAAAGTCAGGGTAGTAGATAGATTAAACCCGTTAATATCAGCTCTCCACCCAGACCTATAAGTCCAGCTGTTGAACCCATTTTGCCAACTGAGACTTCTCTTTTCCTCATGAGTTTCCCTTAGGCTGGGAAAAGAAAGTGGCATCCTAGAGCCATCTTAATCCACCTGAGCTTCTGAGAACAGTGAGCCTCAAAAGTATAAGGTCAAAGCTTAACATCTCCTTGGCCTTTGTCAAGCCACCCAAAGAAAGGTCGTAATTCCTTCCCTCCAGGATAATTATCCTGGAACAAAGCTATTTCTTGGTGGCTTTTCTCTATCTCATCAGAGAAATGACTTAGTTAAATATCATTGCTTCAAGAAAAGAAATTTCAAATCCTCATCTAACCAGGCACTGTGCTACATATTCATTTGAATCCTAACTGCAAACTCATGAATTTTTGCAAATAGCATCACCCTTTTGTTTCCCTCTAAATAGTTAAACAAGGAGGCTACTGAGGCTAAGAAATTTCTATGTTCGTTTAACAGATTCCTTAAAATATTTTTTCTACTTGCTTTGAACAAAAATTGGCATAGTTTTTTTTTTAAATATGGACAATGCTCAATGGTGCAGTGCCTACCAGAATGAAAGTAACTTATTCATATTTAGCTGGGAAGAAAATCTATATATTATCAGAAGTGTGTTAATTGAGGCAAAAGAAAAAAAATAGCAGATGTGGACTATTTTCTATCAAATTGTGCAGACTAATTATCCTCTACATTTGAAGAAGTGCAAAGGTCAAAAGGCTAATATGTAGATTCATCAGAAAATTATGTAAATTAGCACAAATCAAGCACACCACATAACCCCCATAATCAGTAAAATATGTAGTTCACTAGCAAATTGGGTGAAACTTCTAACTATCCGATCAGTAAAGAAGGAGGATGAAAACCCTAAACATGGACAACTGTTATATCTCAGGTAACGATGATTTTAACACACTAGTAAGAAAATATAGCATTGGAAAAAGGACATACACTCAAGAAATAAATGTAGATGACTTGGGAGGAAATCGCTAGAGTGTGAGCATCATGAGGGCAGGGAACTTTTTGTTTACTGATGTATTCCTATCACCTAAAATAATGTCTGCTACATAATAGATCCTGAATAAATATTTTTGAATGAATACTGAATGAATTATAAGAACAAAAATGTCATGAGAAAAACAAGACAATGCAAGTTTCAAAATAAGAAAGTACAGCTACATGCCGGAAGCAGTGGCTCACGTCTGTAATCCCAGCACTTTGGGAGGCCAAGGCGGGTGAATCACGAGGTCAGGAGATCGAGATCATCCTGGCCAACATGGTGAAACCCCGGCTGTACTAAAAAAATACAAAAATTAGCTGGACGTGGTGGTGTATGCCTGTTATCCTAGCTACTCAGGAGGCTGAGGCAGGAGAATCACTTGAACCGGGGAGTCAGAGGTTGCAGTGAGCCAGGACCGCACCACTGCACTCCAGCCTGGTGACAGAGACTCCGTCTCAAAAAAAAAAAAAAAAAAAAAGAAGAAAAGAAAATACAGCTACATATCACAATTCATGTATTTCTTCCTAAAGTTACTTTATATGCACTATGCTAACAATCTTCCATTCTTTACCAAAAATAAATGGAAGAAACATTGAAATAATAGTAGCTTTATTAAAAATCAATAATAATTATTTGTGCTTACAAAACTAGCTATACTGAAGGAATTCTTTTTTAACTCTAGTAATGTTAAACACCTCTCATAAATATTTGGAGACATATCTTATGTCAATATCTACTCCAGAGATAAGAAGGAGACACAAAGAGATGGAGGAATTTTTTTTCAACAGTCATTGTGAATTGAAACTCAAATACAATTGATTACACAGGGTAAGACTCTATCTATTTCAAGTCATAGTTTATTATTACCAAATATTTTTCTTATCATATTTCACATTAACACCATTGTAAAAGTACTCTTTTGTATCTCCACATAATAAAACACCATCATTGTTCTTCATTCCTCTAATCTTACCATTACTTTAAAAATGTTTCCCTTATATGTTCCCAGGTGGGAACATGATATAAATAAGAAGTAACTTTTTTAATAGGTAATATATGGATATTACCATATTCCAGAAAAAAACCAAAGGAAGCTTATAAAATTGTACACTAGGACAAAAATAGAATGCTATTAAAAAAATTAGTAGGTGAGAAAATGAAGGCAGGGGGAGAATGAGGTGTAGAAGATGAAAGCAAAGATTAAGTTATTACACAAAATGCAAAATATGAGGTTTGTGAATTCAGTAGTTAGTTATGTTTCCAACCTTCCTAGCAACCAAGACAAATAGGGCAACAAAATCAAGTGATTCTGAGAGATAAACCAGTTAAACTGGTCAAGAAAACACAGCTATTTTTGGTACTAGAACAAAGAGAAATGTCTTTTATTTATCTTCATAGTAAGAATAGCGGATAATGCTATAAATACCCTCAACATCTTTCCAAATACACTATGAGTGTCATATAGTCTTTTTTAGACATCCTTCAATATGAGGGCTGTTTCCCAAAGAGCAATTCAATAAAGCAATGGGAGATAGAGAATGAGAGCAGCAAATGATGAGGTGCAGACACTGTTGGTACCCAGTCTGGCTTAATCCAGAAATTGATTTTAGCATGTTTAGAAGAGTTTGGAGAGGCCACAAATCCTTCAGACAGTTTCTTCAAATGCTGTTCTATGAGCTTTTGATAAGAACTAAGGGAAACATTCAAAATTCTATTTCCTGACCTGGACCAAGAATATAACTACTTGATGCTACCAGATCCAGATAACTACAGAATCTTATACAGGACCAGCTACACAATGCATGGGATCTCGTGAAAAATGAAACTATGGGACTCCTTGTTCACAATCATTAAGAATTTCAAAATGGCTACAGAAGAATATTTAACCCAGAGAGGTCTCTCTGAGAGTGGGGGTGTGCATGATTGCATAGATCACACATCTGTGAAGCTAGTGCTGACCATATGCTTTAACAGCCAGTCATATTTTTCTGAGACAGGCTCTTGGATGATCTGGAAAAAATATTCTCCTTTAGATAGAGCTTCCCTCCTCCCTTGGGGAAGTCCAAGATTCTCCCATTCTAACACACAGATTAATCAACAATCTCAATGACACAAACATGAAAACATGGCCCAAATATTTTAAGCCTGGACAGTTATAAAAATAGATACTATCAAATGACTACTTGGTCATTTAAAATAAATAAATAAATAAATATATATATATATATCAGTAAAACACCTGCAAAATATTTACCCTTGATTAATAAACTTCTGTGCATATGCTCTAAAATGAACTGCTTGCTAAGTTTATCCTGAGTAACCAGATAAGTTACATTTCTGAATGGGGTTAATTATAATTCAGTTAATACTAGATGTCTAGTCTATCATGATTATCCTATTTTTGAGGTCCTTCCTTCTGGCAGCTAATAGGTAGCAGGGCTCATTGACTATTGGGCCCTCCTTAGATTATTACTAGAGCCAAGATATTTGTGGGTAAAAGGTCATAGGATATTTTATTCTCTTTAAGGATAGAGGGAATGTACCCAGCACACTCAAAACAAGCATCAATTCATTAAGGCAGAGGTTCAAAAGAAGAGTTGTACTACATCTCTGGTTTACCCATGTGGAAATTATACCTCTCATTTTCTTTCTTTTCCTGCTTTCCTAACAAATATATTCCATCCAAAGGAGGAGCCCTGCTAACCCACGACCCAGTCGGTGTTTGTTAGGATGTGTTATATACTTTAGGATACAGGATACATTATACATGTCTTAAATTGGCTTAAATAATAAATTTTCTAAATTTTTCTAATTACAAGGAATCCAGAAGTGGGGCAGACTGGGTTGATTCAGTGGCTCAAAGACGCCATTCAAGACTCAAGATTTTTCTCTCTCTCTGTTCTGCCCTTCTTGTGTTGCTTTCATCCTCAGGCTGCAGCACTATTCACAATAGCCAATAGGTGCCATAATTCCAGACAATACAAGTAGATATAGCAGTATCCAAGAGGACATCGTGTCTGAGTCCGAGGACTGAGGAACTATTTCTAGAAGTTCTCCAGAAAATCCCCCCTCAGGTCTCATTGGCCAGAATTGGGTCACATGTCCATTCCCAAACCAACTACAGGCAAAGGGAATGGAATTACCATGGTACCTGGGGTGAGCTAGATGCTGGGCAGTCAATTGCAGTGATTCCTACTTGGGCTCCCATCCACTACTAAATGAACCAAATTTGGGTAAAAACTTCAGAGGAACCAATCCACAGGCACGTTTGAGTCAATGATATTCTTGTTCTCTAAAATCTGAACTAAGGGACTTAGAACCTGAGGGAGTTTGGAGCTAGCTCGTATTAATAGCAGAATACTAGATTAAAATTCCTTGAACTTGAGCTGCTGAGATCCTCAGAGTCACCCTGAGTCTCACCTTTCCTAGAGTATGATTGCTCAGTTTTCTTTGATTTCAGTAAGACTTCTTATAATAAACTCTCTTTTCTTAAGCTGATAAGTAGTTGTCTATTCTTTGCAAGTAAAATACTGTGCTTAAGATAGCCTCACTAGAAATTAGGATCCAACTGTCTAAAACTACATTATGGCTATTTTATGGCACAGGTTCTGTTTAAGCTTCAGAGTTAGGGTGACTAAATATCCTAATCTGTCCAAGACTAAGCGGTTTCCTGGGACCCAGGACTTTCAGTGCTAAAACCGAGATAATTGGTCACCCCGACTTTAATAATCAGGATCAACAGCAAATACTAAAGT
Organism: Homo sapiens; assembly: GCF_000001405.40. Taxonomy (NCBI): domain Eukaryota; kingdom Metazoa; phylum Chordata; class Mammalia; order Primates; family Hominidae; genus Homo; species Homo sapiens. Next base: position 81,774,436 of record NC_000004.12, read on the forward strand.
CCCTCCCATACGTAGTACCTGTTCTTAGACTCAAAGTTTAAGAGATCAACAAAAATGATATAACTTCCTTAACTATCGTATATTCCTACTTCTAGACTTTACTGAGTTTAAAAGCACAGCATAAGGCAGCTACATTCAGTCCAGGGCCCAACATGGCATAAAACTCAGAGTGGTAGTTCAACAGACATTGAGAAAATAAATCCAAATGAGTACGATTATCCCTAACACAAAAGAACAGCTTTCCTAAATAAAATATACTATTATGTTCAAGTAAAGAAACATTCTCTGAGGTGAAAAGAAACAACCCTAAAGAGGCTCCTGACTTGAAAGCAGGAAGAATCATCCTTAGTGGGGCTCTGGCCCTTCCAAAGCAGTGTTGGCTTATAAATAAAATAATCGTGATTAATAATACATTGCATTTCCTCATGAAATAGGATAAAAGGCCTCTTGTTGTCTTTTAAAAAAAACCACGAGAAGGAAAATAGGACAACATTAACCACTGATAGTAAGTTGCCCTGAGAAACATCCCGAAAGTATGGTACAAAATGACAAGAAAATGGGATTCAATAACCAGAGGTTCTTAAGCTATATTTTCTCCCTGTCTTTAAGAGCATAGTCAGGGATGTGACAAAATAAAATTCATTCCCTTTCCTCACAGATATGAAAAGATATCTTATTTGTAGCTATTATAGAAAAGGCACCAAGATAACGAACAGAAAAACCAATTTCTCCTGAGGCTATGGGCAAGCTAGTGGAATCCCAACAGATTCAGCAATAATGTCAATAACAACAACAAAAAGCCCAGGTCTTTCTCCTAGGCTGTCATTTTTCCATCAAAATTAACAGCATGGTTATCAAATTTTAAACTTTTTAAATGGAAGCAACTCTGATCTCATTAGGTCTGTACTTCCTCTCAAGAGTCCATATCCCCTAGTAGGACATAAGCTCACTGATGATACTTTGATTCCTTTTTATGGAAACCTCGTCCGCCTGAAATCCAGCCCATCTGTGGCTTTTTTGAGGAACCTTCTCACAATGGCTGTACTAGTTTACATTCCCACCAACCGTGTGTAAGAGCTGCCTCGTCTCCCCATCCTTGCCAGAACTTGTTAATTTTTGTTTTTTTGATAATAGCCATCCTCAGCTGGAGTCAGATAATAACTCACTGTGGTTTTCATTTGCATTTCCCTGATGATTAGTGGATATTGATAATTTTTTTCATACATTTGTTGGCCATTTGTATGTCTTCTTTTGAGAAGTGTCTGTTCAGATCATTTTCCCATTTTTTAATCAAGCTGTTTGGGTTTTTGCTGTTGAGATGTTTGAGTTCCTAGTATATCCTGGATATTAATCCCCTGTTGGATGAATAGTTTACAAATATTTTCTCCCATTCCATAGGTTGCCTTTTCACTCCATTGATTATTTACTTTGCTGTACAGAAGCTTTCCCATTACTGAGCGTTTCTCTAAAGAAAAGGAAGAAATCGGTACATCAAAGAGATATCTGCACCCCCATGTTTACTGCAATACTATTCACAATAGCCAACATATGGAATCAACCTAGCTGTCCAAGAATAGATAAATGATAAAGAAAATGTAGTATACATATACCGGGAAATACTATTCATCCATTAAAAAGAGTGAAATGCTGTCATTTGTAGCAACATGGATAGAAGTGGCAGACATTTTGCTAAGTGAAACAAACCAAGAACAGAAAGTTAAACACCACATGCTCTCATTCATATGTAAAAGCTAAAAAAGGTTGATCACATAGAAGTAAAAAGAACAGAGGATACTAGAGTCTGGGAAGGGTAGGGAGAGGGTGAGGATGGGTAGAGATTTGTTAAAGGATACAAAACTACAGCCAGATAGGAGGAATAAGTTCTAGTGTTTTATAGCACTGTGAGATGACTACAGTTAACACTAACATATTATATAGTTTCAAATAGCTAGAAGCAGATACTGAATGTTCCCAAAACAAAGAAATAATACATGTGCCAGGTGATGAAATCCAGGGTAATATGCTAATTACCCTGGTGGATCACTATTCATTATAGGTATTGAAGCATGACTATTTACCCCATAAAATTTTTTGTGTCAATTTAAAAATAAAAATTAAAATCCCATCAATTGGAAACAAGAAATATTTGTTGGACAAATGTGAAAGAAATGAACAAAGGCAAAAGAGAGCTAGTTGGGTTAAGGGGGTTGCTGATATCAAAACTTAAACTTGTGTGTCAAACTTTCAAATAAAAATTAACAAAATAAATCTATATGAGGATGTATATACATATGCATACATATTTTTTTCTGCCTCACCACTTTCCCAAAACTGTATGAGGCACAGCAAAAGTAAGGAAAAATAAATTACTAAAATAAGATTTTTAATTGGAAAGAAAAGGAAAAAGTAAATATCCAAAATATAACAATGAGTCAGGTGGTTGTGATTGAGTGAAAAGACCAACTACAATCTTCCTGACAAACCAGACTAAGGAAAATGTGATAAGTTGTGTAAGACATTTTGATATGAGAAGAGGAAATCCACTACTTTCCCAAGGGAGATAAAGCTTTTCCTAGAACCAAGCTCTGATAAAAATTTCCAATGCAAGGAAGGAGCAGGGATCACTCAATGACATAATGACAACATGTTTACAATTTCAGAGCAAGTACAGAAACAACTGAAAAGAGATACCTGGTGAGGTTTAAGCAAAACTTAAAGTAGTCACCTTACATACCACAAAAATTTTCTACAATCAATTATTCCAGACAGGTTCACATAGCTTGTTCCACAAATAAGTACATAGAATCAGAAGTTGATAAAGAAGACAACACCACAATCTTACATAGATTTTCACAGGGTTTTTTCCTATGACATAAAAAGTATAATAATGGCCAAAATAACAATTTAAACAAATGTAAATTTATGAGAATTTACTACATACCTGGTTCTTACATAAGTCCTTTACAAATATTACTCATTAGCATTTGCAACAATACTATCTAAGCACTATCATCTGTTGTTTACTGAGAAAGAAACAGAATCAGAAAGGTAAAGAAACTTTGTCCAAGAAACTTGTCACATAGCAAAGTCAGAATTAAATCATAGGATTCTCTGACTTTTAAGTAGTATAATCTTTTTTTATTTTATTTTAAGTTCTGGGATACATGTGCAGAACATGGAGGTTTGTTACATAGGTATACATGTGCCATGGTGGTTTGCTGCTCCTATCAACCCGTCATCTAGGTTTTAAGCCCTGTATGTGTTAGCTATTTGTCCTGATGCTCTCCCTCCCCTTTCACTCCACCTCCCCCGGACAGGCCCAGGTATGTGTTTTTCCCCTCCCTGTGTCCATGTGTTCTAATTGTTCAGCTCCCACTTATGAGTAAGAACATGTGATGTTTGGTTTCCTGTTCCCGTATTAGTTTGCTGAGGATGATGGCTTCCAGCTTCATCCATGTCCCTGCAAAGAACATTAACTCATTCCTTTTTTATGGCTGCATAGTATTCCATGGTATATGTGCCACACTTCTTTATTCATTCTATCATTGATGGGCATTTGGGTTTGTTCCATGTCTTTGCTATTGTAAATAGTACTGCCATAAATATACGTGTGCATTTATCTTTAGAGTAGAATGATTTATATTCCTTTGGGTATATACCCAGTAATGGGAATGCTGGGTCAAATGATATTTCTGGTCCTAGATCCTTGAGGAATTGCCACACTGTCTTCCACAATGGTTGAACTAACTTACATTGCCACCAATGATATAAAAATGTTCCTATTTTTCCACAGCCTCACCAGTATCTGTTGTTTCTTGACTTTTTAATAATCGCCATTCTGACTGATGTGAGATGGTATCTCATTGTGGTTTTGATTTGCATTTCTCTACTGATCAGTGATGTTGAGCTTCTTTTTCATATATTTGTTGGTCGCATAAATGTCTTCTTTTGAGAAGTGTCTGTTCATATCCTTTGCCCACGTTTTGATGGGGTTGTTTTTTTGTTGTAAATTTGTTTAAGGTCCTTGTAGATTCTAGATATTAGACCTTTGTCGGATGGGTAGATTGCAAAAATTTTCTCCCATTCTGTAGGTTTCCTATTCACTCTGATGATAGTTTCTTTTGCTGTGTAGAAGCTCTTTAGTTTAATTTGATCCCATTTGTCAATTTCAGCTTTTGTTACAATTGCTTTTGGCATTTTTATCATGAGATCTTTGCCCATGCCTATGTCCTGAATAGTATTGCCTAGGTTTTCTTCTAGAGTTTTTATGGTTTGGGGTTTTACATTTAAGTCTTTAATCCATCTTCAGTTAATTTTTGTATAAGGTATAAGGAAGGGGTCCAGTTTCAGTTTTCTGCATATGGCCAGCCAGTTTCCAAACACCATTTATTAAATAGGGAATCCTTTTCCTATTGCTTGTTTTTGTCAGGTTTGTCAAAGATCGGATGGTTGTGGATGTGTGGTATTATTTCTGAGGCCTCTGTTCTGTTCCATTGGTCTATATGTCTGTTTTGGTACCAGTACCATGCTGTTTTGGTCACTGTAGCCTTGTAGGTTTGAAGTCAGGTAGCGTTATGCTTCCAGCTTTGTTCTTTTTGCTTGGGGCTGTCCTGGCTATATGGGCTCTTTTTCAGTTCCATGTGAAATTTAAAGTAGTTTTTTATAATTCTGTGAAGAATGTCAATGGTAGTTTGATGGGAATAGCATTGAATCTATAAATTAGTTTGGGCAGTATGGCCATTTTCATGATACTGATTCTTCCTATCCATGAGGATGGAAGGTTTTTCCATTTGTTTGTGTCATCTCTTATTTCCTTGAACAGCAGTTTTTAGTTATCCTTGAAGAGGTATAGCTGTATTCCTAGGTATTTTATTCTCTTTGTAGCAATTGTGAATGAGAGTTCATTCATGATTTGGCTCTCTGTTTGTCTGTTGTTGGCGTATAGGAATGCTTGTGATTTTTGCACATTGATTTTGTATCCTGAGACTTTGCTGAAATTGCTTATCAGCTTAAGGAGTTTTGGGGCTGAGACAATGGGATTTTCTAAATATAGAATCATGCCGTCTGCAAACAGAGACAATTTGAGATATGTTCCACCAATAACTAGTTTATTGAGAGTTTTCAGCATGAAGGGATGTTGAATATTGTCAAAGGCCTTTTCTGCATCTATTGAGATAATTATGTCACACAGCAAAGTCAGAATTAAATCTTAGGATTCTCTGACTTCTAACTAGTATGATCTTAACTACTGCCTCCTGTAGTAAGATAATGATGCCTGAAACCCACTTGTTTCTTCTCGTAAATATTGGACCAAGAGACTCAAATATGCATTTTTTAGAAGAAAAAAGATGAAATAAACTGTTGAAAGTATATTTTAAAAAGTGATGATTCTATAGCTTTGATATTCTATAATTTATTGTCTAAACTATACTTTGAGGCCATTTAGGTGTCATTGTACCTAAAGAACAACTTGAAGGAATTTGTCCTGGATCAGAGCTTTCTAGTGAGAATGATCCTTGAAACAACTCTGGAAATAAGAAATATGCACCTAGAACTCTAGACAAGATAATTAGTTGAATTGCTACACAAAGGGTTGATTACAATACCCCATTCAAAAAAGAACTCAGTGTCTAAAAAATTTTAATAATTTCTCAGATAAGAAAAAGACTTTTCAGGCTGGGCATGGTGGCTCATGCCTGTAATCCCAGCACATTGGGAGGCCAAGATGGGTGGATCACTTGAGGCCAGGAGTTCAAGACCAGCCTGGTCAACATAGCAAAATCCCATCTCTACTAAAAATACAAAAATTAGCCGGGAGTGGCGGCACAGGCCTGTAGTCCCAGCTACTTGGCAGGGTGAGATGGGAGAATTGTTGAAACCAGGAGGTGGAGGTTGCGGTGAGCCAAGATTGTACCACTGCATTCCAGCCTGGGCAACAGAGTGAGATCCTGCCTCAAAAAAAAAAAAAAAAAAAAAAAGAAAGAAAGAAAGAAAGAAAAGAAAAGAAAAGAAATAGACTTTTCAGATGTCTTCCATTCATCTGTAACCAATGCCAGGCCATAAAGTAATAGTGGTCTCTGATTACATAACAATTGGTCCTAAAAGCCAAACCTCCCACTGGGGTTTGTTCTACTTGGGTTTGGGGGTTTCCCTTCACCTTCTTAAAATAATAAAAGTAAAACTGTAAGATATAAACTCTATGTTTGTGATTAAGCTCTGGCTTTTGCTTGATGTGCCACCTAAGTAACTTATTAAACCTCTTTTTGTTTTAATTATGTTTCTCAACAATCTTTATTAATATCAGGGTTAGGAGGACAAAGATCTTTTAAAAATAATTACGATAGAATAGGCATGGCTTTGAAGATTCTCAATACTTCAAAATACGAGAGAAACTTCTCAGAGAAGGCAATAGATTTAAGAATTTATTGTATTAACAAGAGATACTAGAAAACTGGAGTTCCCAAATACTCTGTTAATCCTTGCCTCAGTCCACTTGTAGATATAAGCAGGATTGAACAGAGTTACATTTAAGATAAGCAAGAAGGGGAAACAATGGCTTCTGACATCACCAATAGTAGACTATGAAAGCTGTAGTTTTTTTATTTCCTAAATGCTGTTTCTTCACAGAGACAGTTATTCTTGTTTCCCTAGGAGAACTTCATTGGGCTGCCAATCATGATATCACCTCAGTCACTAGTCTCAGCTACAGAAGTGGGCAGCCAAGCCAGGCCAGTCACAGAACCACATGCTCTAAAACCCACAATTAGCTATGGAACTGCCACATGATCCTCAAGAGCCCAAGAGGTCCTCCCTGGACCATTCTAATAATGCCCATTGGAAAAAAGACTCTCCTTATCTGTTTGACAGAAAAGTATAACTATGATCTGAGGCTTTGCAGCAACCATTGTTTATTACACAGAAAAAAGGCACGTATGCTGTAAGAGAGAATTACACGAACATGCAAAGTGGGAGAGAAATAAGTAGATAAAGACAACATTGTTTTAGCCATTTGACATGTCTGCAGTCCACCACTGAATTCCCAGATAGGGGAGTCCTAGAGACTTGGGGTTAATCTCTCTCACAATATTGATTCTATGGATAAGGTAAAAATGAGCTAACTCCAAAGTTGTCTAAATCACAAGCCCCTAAGTAGGAGGTATTAGTAATATTTCCTTCTGATTTGTCTCAAAACATGACTTAAAATGTTTATGTATTGGTTAGTGCTGTACTGATATACTTATTGGAGACATACTATCTACATACAATTTAGAAATCAAATGTTATAGGTGGTCCCTACTTGAAACTGGATCTTACACCAATCTTTGCATTCCTTCTCTGCTTTCTTCTGTGTGAGAGAATTCACAGCTCTCTTAATTCTGGGCTCTCTTAATTATGGAATTTGAAGACACTAGGAAATTTAAGCCCTGAACTATAAGCCTTCAATTATCAGACTACTGGGTATTAGATCTGTTCAACTCTGTGCATCGTCAGAATGTGAAATTATAACCAGGGACTGTGGTGGTTAAATACATTTGTCAAATATAACTGCAGAGAGCACTCTCTGCTGGATTTACTCTCTACAGGTAGGCAGCATGGATAACAGAAATGACTGCAGGGCTCAGGATGGCACTGCATTTCCTTTGACTTCGTTATTAACTGTAGAACAAAAAGGGAGGAAAACTAACATTCTCTTCCTATTTCATATAGCTAAAAAGTCTGTCAATTGTCACTATACTTCACAAATGTTGTTTTTAATAACATACATTAGATATTTTCAAATGCTAAGAAGTGTATAGGACAAAACATAAGTTCTACCCCTTAGTTAAGCCTTAATGTTTTTAAATGACAAAAGTCTTACACACACATCATAGAAATCCATGTAATTTAGAAAGACATAAGATGAGATGTAGAATTCTCTCTCCCCCAAATTCCACTCCTTCTCCCCACATTTAACTATTAACAAAAATTTTTATGTATCCTTCCAAAACCAAAAAGTTGAAATTGACTAGTATATGTATGTCTGTGTATATATCCTTTTATTTATATCAATGGAATCATTCATACTGTTCGGCACTTTTTTCTTTTTACTTAATTTTATAACTTGTAAAACATTCATATTAACACAGAGATTTATTTCATTCTTTTAAAAACCTGTATAGTCTCATCATTTACATAGCCCATTCCTTATTGATAAACATTGTGTTCAAGGTTTTCTGCTATTGCAAATAATTCTGTAGTATGTATGTGTATATATGTATGTTATATATGCACATATGTAAACATATATATATCACAAGCACACATACATAGGGATCTCAAAATATATACATACATGTATATCACAACCACACACACAAAGTATCTACATATCTCTCTCTGACACACACACACACACACACGCACACACACGCACGTATACCCCTTTAGGTATTATAATGACATTTTTCCCCATGTGGTAAAATCTGCTCTGTTATTTAATTCACAGGGCAAGGTATAATTAACAACAAGGCCACCATGTGTTATGATCCTTGGAATGAAGGTACATTTTGCAAATGTGAAGAGTCACCATTAATGTTTTATCCTTAAAAATTGAATGGCTTCTTTTTATTTGAGAAGAGTTGCCATTGAGTTTTGTTCTAGAGAATGAAGTACAATGAGACCTTTCTCCTACATCCTAACTAGTTCATGCTTTGTCTATATTCTCTGATTTAATTATCAGTTTAGTGAGCTTTCCTATTTTGCAGAGAAATTTAACAGTAAAAATAGAAACAATAGCCATTCCATTTCTATACTAAAGCAAATACCATCTTGTGCTGTGTTTGTGTTGCAGGTGGGAAAGACAGGCCTTTCTCAAAATTTTTCATTAAGGTATCCAGTCCAGCCAAGACAGTAACACTCCATCACTACTCAGGGACATATTTATCTATAAATCATGTTATGCATGCGTGCTTATCTCCATCAGCATATACACAGAATACAGTCTTTTTTTAATGAGCCTAGTTCCTGACTCTTGAAGCAAAAGTCACTTTGTAATCACCAAAATTGCCCCTCTAAATGTGAGAAAACACAGGTTTTTGCATAGCACTCACTTCGTGTTTTGCATTTAGAAGCCCCCAGACCTTCTAATACAGTTGTGCAGACTTGAAATTGAACTTCGAAGGTTGAGTAAGTGCCTTCGACTAGTAGCATTTCTTACAGTGCATTCATTATGAAACTTGACACAGTGCATTCCTAGAGAATTATTTAAAAAAAAAGAAGTCATTTACATAAGGTTTCCTCACCAAGAAAATATTAAGCACACCTCCAAGTTAGTTTGCCACTCTCACATAGTGCCTGGTTGCTATGGGTTACCACCTTCCCAGATGCATTTATCTCTGGAGGAAGAATGTAAGATACCAATGAAAGGATCTATCACTGACTACACTGACTATAGTGTATACTGACTACAAAAGAATAATAAATGCAAATAGATTCCAGTTTAAAGTCATTTTTAAGCCATAGCAAGGGCTCTTAACTTGTATTCCTTTTCTTTTTCTTTTTTAATTTCTTTTTTCCTTTTGGGGGCAAAGTTTTGCTATTGCAATTGTAGCTGTTCTATCAGAAACAATTTTGCTGAATCTTTAAAATAACTCATCCAGCCACCATAATTCTTGTCTACCAAAGAAAAGACTGAGGCCGGGCGCAGTGGCTCACGCCTGTAATCCCAGCACTTTGGGAGGCCGAGGCGGGTGGATCACGAGGTCAGGAGATCCAGACCATCCTGGCTAACACAGTGAAACCCCATCTCTACTAAAAAATACAAAAAATTAGCTGGGCGTGGTGCCAGGCGCCCGTAGTCCCAGCTACGCGGGAGGCTGAGGCAGGAGAATGGCGTGAACCCGGGAGGCGGAGCTTGCAGTGAGCCGAGATCTATCACGCCACTGCACAGCCTGGGCAACAGAGTGAGACTCTGTCTCAAAAAAAAAAAAAAAAAAAAAAGACTGTTAGTTAAACATCAGGACTTTCAACATGAAATGAATTGCTCCAGAAAAAGAAAAGTTGACAGCGCAGATTTAAAAAACAATTGGTACTAATATTGAATTGCCCTTTTGGGTCTATGGAAGGTGTGTTTGTGTATGTGTGTGTGTGTGTGTGTGTGTGTAATCAATTACAAGGGAAGCAGAAGCATTTCATAGCAAGGAGCACAGAGGAACTTAACACCTAGCATCTGTTCAACTTAAAAGAAAACTAAACAGGCTCTATAGCTGAAAAATAAGTAAATAAATTACAGGATGCTCATCCACATACCAAAAGGCTTTACTCTATAGCTCCTTAAACAACTACCACTAAAACGGCATTGAACTAGGAGCATATTTTCCCACCAACATCATGTAAGTTGACATGTTTGTGTTATTATGTGGTCTTTATAAAGATTTTTAAATGTCAGCAGAGAATTTTAAAAGTTAGGAAAGCTTTTGTTTGTTTTCAAAAGCATTTGAAGTCCATATCTCGGAAGTAAACACTGTTAACATTCATTGTACTTGTATTCAGTGACTAAAAATGGTTATAAAAGTTCCAAACTCTTGGCACATATTTTCACATTGTCCTTTAGAAAGGTCATACCTTTCATACCACCAGTGTATCAAAATGTCCATTTCACCGAACCCTTTTATTTTACCAAAATCCTTTGATCTAATTGAGAGGTCATGATTTTCTATAAAAAGCCAGATAGTGAATATTTTTGGCTTTGTAAGCCATGAGTCTTTTTTTGAGACAGGGTCTCCCTCTGTCTCCCAGGCTGAAGTACAGTGGTAAAATTGTGGCTTACTGTAGCCTCAACCTCCCTGGCTCAAGTGATCCTCCCACCACCCAAGTAGCTGGTACAACAGGCGCATGCCACAATGCCTGGCTAAGTTTTTATTTTTATTTTTTGTAGAGATGGGGTTTCACCATGTTGCCCAGGCTAGTCTCCAACTCCTGAGCTCAAGCAATTTGCCCATCTTGGCCTCTGAAAGTGCTGGGATTACAGGCATGAGCCACTGCGCCCAACCGCCATCCAGTTTTTATTGCAAGTTCTCAATTCTTGCCACTGCACATTGAAAGCAGCTATAGACCACAAGTAAACAAGTGGGTATACTTATTCCAATAAACTGTGTTCTAATAAAACTTTATTTACAAAAACAGGAAGCTGGCCACATTTGGTCCATGGGCTATAGTTTGCCAAAACCTCTCAGAACTATGTGGTCTTACAATTTTAAAAATGAAGATTTTCACATTCTCAGAAATCTACAAAGAATCGTGTGTGTGTGTGCATGTGTGCGTGTGCATGTGTGTGTTCTTATTGTAAAACCTACAAACAAATTCATTCATCATAAGTGAGCAAAAAACGGAAAGGGCAACTTAGAACTGACAGTGCAGAGACTCTCTAACTTCCAAAAATTATAATCCCCATCACCACAGCTAATAGCTAAAACTCATATAGCACTTTACAGCTTATAAAGTGTGTTCTCATTTATTATCTCATTTGATCTTCCAACACCATGAGGTGGCTATGATTATCCCAACTTTACAGATGGAGAAACCAAGGCTTAGTGTATTAGCTGTGAGACTGAAGCCCAGAAATGACTTTGTTACCACAACTGCTGTTTAAAGTGTACACCAAACAGAAAAGTCAGTACTAAAAATTCTCCTGATAGTGCAAACCCAGAGAGGCAAAATTACAGACAAATCTTTCCTCTGCTTTTCAGATAAACTGTTTGTTTTCTCTTTAAGACCTGAAGATTTTGTCAGCAGAAATGGGTGGTAATTACTAAGATAAGAGATTGATCTTGTATTCTAGTCTGCTAATGTTTGTTTTGTGCCAGAATTGTCCCGGTGGCACTGAGCCAAAAAGAATGAAACAGCTATAAATGTCTAGGCAGAGGCCTGAAAAATAAATTACAAGAAAGAAAATATATAATTAGGAATCTTGTGAACTAAATTTGAAGATATTCACAAGCTCTGTGAGTTTTTGCAGTAGTGAAGAGAGATTCAGACACCAAATAGCAAAGGAGAATTGCACTTTTTTTCCTTCAGAGAAAGACACCAGGAAGAGTGCTGAAGCATATTGAAAGGAAGAGGTTGGTAATTTTTCCTTAACTATAGAGGCAACGTCATCCTGTGACCACAAAGAACATTCTGCTGACCTTGACCATTTTTCCTGTCATCTATGTGCTGAGCTCTATGCATAGCCCTCAGGCAGACACAAAGCAAAGTCAGGCATAGCTCTGGAACTCCAGCGCATGTTCTCTGAGACTTACGTAAAGGACTCTTCCATTCACATTAGTTAAGAGCCAGGCTGGTTAATGGCCACATATTGCCCACTTACTCCCTGTTGTTCTTCAGCACTTGAGGCAGAGCTTTAGCAAGGCCCTCACAAATCTTTCTTCCCACATTTTCCAGTTTCCAAATACAGCTTTCTATACTACAGCTACAGGGATATCTTGATGTTGTCTCCTCTTTGAATGCACTAGGCAAGTGAGGTTGCATTGGAAACAGCTGGCTGCTGTGAGGCGTTGGTGCTAGCTCAGATGCATGCAGATGGCTGGGTTTTCCAAGTGCCTGCATGTTATGGGCAGTTTGCAAAGTTAGCACTGTGTTTTGGAAAAAGAACAAGCCCAGAGACAGCCAAGCCCATGTACTAGGACACAGTAGTGAGCTGCTAAAATTTTCTTTGGAAACACATCCCTGAAAATGTTCACAGAATCCTGCTAACCTCCGCAATTTGTGGTCCAGTAATGAGTTGATCCACAAAATGGGTAGAGCTGAATTGGAAGAAGAAGGGCAAGTTGTAAGAAAGTTGGCAATCAATTCCAAGGTGGTAAGCAGCAATTCCTGGAGTGGGTTGTAGTTCCAGTCCCTGCCATTATGTTACCTCAGCAAGTAAGTTCAGCTCTCTGAACTGCCTCTTCTCCATTATAAATATGGGAAAGACAATGTATTCTATGATGTTTGTGCAAAGATGAAAGAAGAATGAGTTTTCTAAACTGTGAAATGCTATCCAAATGTCAGGAACTGTTACATAGTTATAGATCTTGCTCTACTATGAATCACTAGGGATGTCATAAATTATTCTTGTGCAAGTTTATCAATACCACCTCAGAGACATATTGAACATCAACTGGCACTTCAATAGCATCAGTGTAAACACCTGGCCCACAGCCAGTCACCATACCATGGAATTAAGAGGGAAAAGAGAGTTTGTCTCTGGTTTCAGGGTGTTTCCTTGTACTCAAAAGAAGAGCTGAAATTTCAAGATTTGATGAAAAATACAAAATAGAATCAATCACCCTGCACAAGTTTCTATATCCTTCACATAAAGTATTTTATTACCGCCATTGTACAGTTACCTTACTGGGCCTAGAATAACTGATGCTAGATTAAGGAAACTATTTGTGTGGGAAGTAAACTAAAAATATAGTACTTTTCCTCTTAACTGCAATTATACCCTGTATTATACATAGAGTATCCTGTCTGAGGTTGGAATGATTAATTTTATATGTTAATTTGGATACGTCTATCTATCTATTTATATATATGTGTGTGTGTGTGTGTGTGTGTGTGTGTGTGTGTGTGGTGTGTTTTGGAAAAAGAAATATTTAACATTATATATAAAGAGAGATTTCATTTCACATATGTAGACACGCACACACATATATATACCTCCTATTTGTGTGTATCTGTGTGTATATATATGTATATATACATATGTATGTATATATGTATGTATACATATGTATGTATATATGTATATATATGTATATGTATATATGTATATATGTATATATACATATGTATATGTATATATGTATATATACATATGTATATGTATATATGTATATATACATATGTATATGTATATATGTATATATACATATGTATATGTATATATGTGTATATATATGTATATGTATATATGTATATATATGTATATATACATATGTATATGTATATATGTATATATACACACACACACATAGACACACATATATATATACCTCCTATTGGTCTGTTTCTCTGGAGAACCCTGACAAATAGAGAGGTTGAGTTCCATTATTTAAAGGAAAATATAAAGAAGGAGAAAATGAAAAAAAAAAAAAGAGGCACCTTTAAGATAGCTCCCCTTAAAATTTTATTTAAATGGTAGAGACTGTATTATTTCCTTTAAAATACTGTGTCTTAAGTGTACAAGTTTATAAATAATTTAAAAGGTGCTTTATTTAAGCAAGCACTTAATAAATTAGAACAAAAGCTGTGATAAGAAGTAGATTACATGGGACACATTTTAGTAAGTATTAGATTGTAAATTTGTGGCAGACAAGGTTCCTTGTACCATATTTAGTTCAATCTCTGATCTGTCAGACTGAACCACACGAAATTGCTGATATTTGAATGTGTCTGACTTATTTTAAAGGAGCATTTTCATTTGGTTCAATCTAATAGGAATATATTACATTTTTTTATGTAATAGTCAAGAAAGAGCATTTTTAGATTACTTCCCACACAAATAGTTTCCTTGATCTAGCATCAGTTATTCTAGGTCCAGTAAGGTAACTGTAAGATGGCGGTAATAAGTTACTTCATGTGAAGGGTATACAAACTTGGGCAGGGTGATTGATTCTATTTTGTATTTTTCATCAAATCTTGAAATTTCAGCTTTGCTTTTGAGTACAAGGAGTGTGTGTGTGTGTGTGTGTGTGTGTGTGTGTGTGTGTGTGTGTGTATAGAGAGAGAGAGAGAGAGAAAGAGAGAGAGGGATTTATTTCATTAATTGGTTAATCTATTATTGAGGCTGGTAAGTCCAGAATCTGCAAGGGAGGCCATCCTGCTGGAGTCCCAGGGAGGAGCTAATATTGCAGTTCAAGCCCAAAGGCCATCTGCTCTAGAATTCCCTCCTGTTTGGGAGAAGTCAGTCTTTTGTTCTACTCCAGTCTTCACTGCTTGGATAAGGCCCACCCACATTATGGAAGGCCATCTGCTTTACTCAAAGCCCCATTAATTTAAATGTTGATCTTATTCAAAAGCACCCTCACAGAAACATCCAGAGTAGTGTTTGACCAAATATATGGGCATGGGGGCCCAGCAAAATTGACAGATAAAATTAATCATTCCCACGTCAGACAGGATATTCTGTGTACAATACAGGGTATAATTACAG
Organism: Homo sapiens; assembly: GCF_000001405.40. NCBI lineage: Eukaryota > Metazoa > Chordata > Mammalia > Primates > Hominidae > Homo > Homo sapiens. The sequence continues at coordinate 81,789,611 of NC_000004.12, forward strand.
TTAAGAGGAAAAATACTATATTTCCTAGTAGCATTAAATTTATATTTTATATGTACTTTATAATAAAATTGTAGCTGTTTTTCCAGTGAATCTTTAAAACAGAAGTTGCTTCCTTCACACCCTTAAGAAGTATGGCAGGCAGACAGCAAGCAGAATGGTCTCCCTTTCTGGTAATATTTCTGAAGGAGACTCCATTCCACCTCCTCAAAAGCTAGATGTGACATGTTTACCTTCAACATTCAAATTCAGCTTTGAGAATTTTATCAAACATCTTGAGATAATTTTTCTTACATAACCAAGCTTGGAAACCACCAATACACTGAAAAAATCACACAGCCTCTTCCTGTCAAAAACCAGTAGAGATTTTGCTCTGTTGAGCTACGTATAAAAGAAGGAGAAAATGACCCAGAGCCAGGAAACAAGGAATTATTTTTAAACCTATTGATCAACTTTCCCCACAAACCTCTAAACTCATTCATTTAGATTCCATCTGCTTAACTGATCTTTATAGGACCTATTGAGAGATGAGTAATAACAGTAACTAGGAAAAAGCTCACTTTGAAGTCCACCCGTCCTCACCCAGGAGCTCACAGTGCTTCAAAGACTCCGGGGTACAGGCTCTAAGAGCAGCTGCAAAGCCCTCTGGGAGTAGGGAGCAGGGCAGAGATAAAGGCAAAATTAACCTTCTAGCAATTTCCCGCTTTGAGGACTTAAGTCAGCGTTTAATCTCATTGGGATGTGGTTTTTCCTGTTGGCTTTTTAAAATTAAATTTGTCAAATACAATTCACCTAATCTTATATATAGTATTCTTATTAGCGTATTACCATGTAAAATATATTATCATTATAGGACAATTACAAAGGCTAAAGCTCAGAAAAATAGAGCAATTATCATCACTCATAGATCCATGGACAGCAGTATGGCATAATGGAGAAAGAAGTATAATAAATTTGATTTCAAAAACCATATCCACCTTCTTCCCAGCCAGGCGTTTCTTAGGGTTTCTGCCCCAATCTCACTGGCCTTTCTCCTATCTCTCTGGGGAAGGAGGAGAGTTATATAGGGTGAACCTTATCCCCTCTCTGCATCTGGAAGACTGACTCAGCAGGTGCACATGAGGCCCAAGAGAGAACAGCACCCCAAGTATTTCACTCATCAAGAACTTTGTGATATTATATGTATCATGCTGATAGGTTGTATTTAAAAATTAACCTGGTATAGTCTTATCCTCAATCCGGCATTTTATTCTTCCAATAAATAACAAGCCCTTTTTCTCCAGATCTATTTCTTATGCTTCCTTTGTTTCCTTGATATTGATTTCCACAGAGCTGAGCACATAGAAGGACTAAATGAACATGTAATAATCTACTGTCTTTTTTTTTTAATTTCTGGCGTAGGCAGACTGAAGTGAAAGAGGAAAAGGTGGATGCTTAATTCAATGTGTTATTATGGTTTTTGTTTGGTTGACTGGTTTGGGGTTTTTTTTGGAATTGTTTTTAGAGACAGGGGTCTCACTCTGTCACCCAGGCTGGAGTGCAGTGGCACAGTCACAGCTCACTGCAGCCCTGACCTCCTGAGCTCAAGCAATCCTTTCACCCCAGCCTCCTGAGTTTCTGGGACTACAGGTACAAGACACCATGCCTTATTTTTTATTTTTTATGTTTAGTAGAGACGAGGTCTTGCTATGTTGCCCAGGCTGGTTTCAAACTGCTGGGTTCAAGTGATCCTCCTGCCTCAGCCTCCCAAGATGTTGGGTGGTTTTACTAAAGTGGAAAAACCAGTGAAGCATACTGCCTGTTTTTTATTGAACATTTCACTGTGGATCTCAGGCATCATAATATTCTAGGGTTGTGAAAATAAGACCCACTCCACAGGTTAGGGAAAAAAGGGTGGCAATTGAGAATTTCACATGTGCGGTTACAGGTTTATGATAAGCTCCACATCCCCTTTCTCTTTCTGTGCGCTTCCCTGGAGCGCTCTAACTAGCCCATGACCCATCTCTCCCACTGTGGACCTCAAAGCCTTCTACGCCCAGCCCGGGGCCATAGCCAAGTGAATAGGGAAGACACTTGATTTAAACCAGGCAATCAGACTTGAAACTGGGATGGTCTCTCTGTGTGGCTGCAGCAATAATTTTAACTCTGGGACCAACATTCCACAGTGCAGCAGATATTCCACCGGGCATATTGGTGAGCAAAGAAAGCTGGTCCCAAAGAGAATGAAGCTATTGGGCAGAAAGGAGAAAAGGAGAGAGATGATGAAAATCCCAGTGTCTAGGCCTAGCTCCTTTCTGAGGTCTGCCTACCTTCCTGCCTTTGGGCCTATGATTCATTCGTGCATTCTTACAAATAAGTTATTTTTTGTTCAGCCAGTTTGAATTGATTTCTGTTTATTACAACCAAGAGTCCAAGTTGATACAATGGTGATCCATCTATTCTGGAAGGCAAAGGGGAAAAGAAGAAGAAAACATAACCTGGTGCCTTTTTGGACAGATAAATTTATAATAAAAAATTATTTCTTCTCAGTGGAGCCTTTTGAGCCAACTCAGGCATCTGGTATTTCAGTTAACCACATACACAACCCATCATTATCATCTTCTGGCTTCTTAAAGCTGAAATACAGTAACCCCGAAGTGTGAATAAATTCTATACAGCATGTTCTTTTTCCTTTAGCCTAGTAGATGCACAGTTGCCCTCTGAGACTGTGCTATTTTTTACAGGCCATAAAAGAATATTCATTACTGTTGGTGGGATCACATATATTCTTGGGGGGAGCCACCCATCATGAATATATAAGAGGAAACAAGGTTACCCTCCCATGTTTGCCTACTTTTAAACTTTATTTTTATTCTCATTGTCTTTGTTAATCTTCTCATACATGCTGAAAATTCTTATTGGTCCGTCATCTATTTCTATACCTTTAATAAATGGTTCCTTACCATTTTTCTACCATCATCATGGCTCTTCCTTACTGTTCCCACAGTATATATGCTTCTATGATATTGTATTCTAAAACACACAAGTTAGTATGTATTTTTAATTCTCTTATCTCTCCCACCAGGCTGGAAGCTACTTACTGGAAAAGGCTGTGCCTTAATTGCTATACTCTTACTATCTCATACATTGACTAGAAACAAATGTTTGATGAATGGACAAGTGTATGAGTAAGTGAATGAACAAATGGCTTTGCTCCATCTAACATTTCTGATAGTCCAGTCCTATATTTTAAATGTGTTCTCCCTTTCTTTTCTATCAGAATAAATGACTAGCATGCTCTCTGACTGAGCTTCTATAATTATATCCTTTTTCATTTAACATCCTATTCTTATCAAGTTTTCTTAAGACAGTATGATGATCTTTTGATGTGTCAATCTGGCGAGGCTACAGTCCCAGTCATTCAATTAAACATTAATCTAGTTGTTGCTGTGAAGGTATTTTGTAGTTGTGATTAAAGGCCATAATCAGTTGACTTTAACAGAGATTTTCCTAGATGATCTGGGTGGTACTGATTCAATCTGCTGAAAGTCGTTAAGAGCAGGACTGAAAAAAAGAAGAGATTCCCACTGTGGGTAGCAGCTTCAGCCCAAGCATGAGAGTTCTAGCTTTCCTTTCTGGACAGCCTGACCTATGGATTTCAGAATTGACTAGCCAGACCCACGACTGTATAATGAATGGAGCAGCCAATACAAGGCTTGATTCTATGTATAGCCAACTGTTAATCTGTGTATCGGTCAGGGTTCACCCAAAGAAAGCAGAACCAGTAGGAGACACAGATTAAGAGATTTATTGCAAGAAAGCTAGAACACTCAGTTGTTGCTGTAGCTGAACTTTTAAGGGGTATTTTATTCACTTTACATTTCACATCTATTGTCATTTTTGTGGCACGTAACTATTGTTAATGCCATTTACCAGCTTCGTCATTTTATATCCATGTTGTAAATTTGATTCGAATGTTGTGCTTCAATCTCATCTTCTGGCTGATTTATTCCAAGTAGCTGGCTTCATGTATCAGATATCGGTTGCTGTGGGCTCCACCGTTTTTTCTCAAGATATAAATTCTTCCCTCAAACTGTCATTCTTACAGTACAGAAAGATGTATGTCCTTAAATAATTTTTCCATTCCACATATCTTTTGAGGAGGATGTGCATTCACAATTTATTTTTTATGAACATCTTCCAACTCAGATTCCATGCAAGAGAAATCTTACCTATGAACAGCTCTCCTTTCCTCCTTCATCAACAATGGGTTTCCACTTTGTATCTGGTTTCATTGTTGGAACTAAAATTACATCAAGTTTCTCTTCTGTATTAGGCCATTCTTGCATTGCCATAAAGAAATACCTGAGGCTGAGTAATTTACAATGAAAAGAGGTTTAATTGGCTGATGGTTCTGCAGACAGTCCAAGAAGCAGGGTGCCAGCATCCACTTCTGGTGAGGGCCTCAGGAATCTTACAATCATGGTGGAAGGTGAAGGGGGAGCAGGCACATCACAAGGCAAGGGGGGGGGAGGTGACAGGAAATTGCCACACACTTATAAACAAGCAGATTTCGTGAGAACTCACTATCACGAGTTTAGTACCAAGCCATGAGGTATCTACTCCCATGACTGACCACCTCCCACCAGACCCCACCTCCAACACTGGGGATTACAATTCAACATGAGATTTGGGCAGGAACAAATATCCAAACCATGTCATCTTCTTTCCAGCCACATAAACTGCACTCTTAGTCTTCCACAATTTATTCTTGTTTTTCCCTTACATTCTAGAAAAGCCACATACTTTATTATTTTTGTGTGATATGTGCCTACTGTAACTTGCACATATATTCTTTCCTAAGAACATGTTTTATCCACTCCCATCTCCCCATGTTCTAGGTAAAAACCTACTTTTCTATTATTATATTTCCCCTCTCTCTTCCTTGGTTCCCTTTTGCTGCCTCTTCTAATATTTCCAATTTACATTGATTGTGCAGATCAAGCTTGCTTGCTTGGCTTAGTTTTAAAAATGTTGATCAAGTAACCATTATATGACAGACAGAACACAGAGGTAGATAAAAAGTTTCTTGTTATTTAAAGAGCTAAGAGTAAGGAAAGGCCTAGGAACAACTAAGTTACAAAGCATGCGTTTAGTTCTGGCTTCAGCTAACACAGTAGCATCTTGCTTTTAGTGGTAACCAGTTCTAAATATCTTGCATGCTGCATTTATTAGAGAAAAGATCTTTTTAAAATGTCATTCTCCTGCTTAAAATTCTTCAGTGAATCTTCAGTCTGAAGGATGGAATCCAAACTACTTAGGAGGTCATTCATCCTCTGGTCTTCGACTACTACTTGTGCCTCATCTTACATCATACTTCCATTGCCCTATGTCTCTGTGTATACATGTGCATGTTCAGGTACAGGTGGGCAGTGGGGTGGGTGAGCTAGGCCAGAAGGCTTAAAGGAAAATAAAATCTGAAAGCCTAGTGGGAGAGGTAGAAAACATGACCAAATTTGGAAGTGGGTGCAGGTGGTTATTGAAATCAAGTATGAGCCAGATTTTGGAGACCGAGTGAAGGCAAGTGGGTCAGAATCAAAGCGTAGAGTGCTCGTGAAATCCCTGAACTCTATCAGCTAGCCTTTGCAGCTTGTGTTCACAGTTGTCTACATTTAAAAAGGCTAGAATAAGGTGAAGGTTGGTGCATGGCCTTCTCCTGTAATCCTTCCCTGTTCAGTGGGTCTCAAGGCCATTCTGGATTTATCAGATGGTATACACTAGCATGGCCAAGGAATTGTCCAGGTGAGAGGTAGGCTGAGGCCCATACCTTTCCCTTGAATCAGGTGTTGAAAAGGATTATTGTCCTCTGGGATGGTAAAGTCCACTCCTATATACTCTCTGTCTGCCTAAGGCTGTGATGACTAGGCTGAGAATGGATGTGAGGGCAGAATTTCTGAGGGGCAGTTGTGATGGGGAGCAGTGAAAGCCAGGGTGAGCCTACAAGCACAGGATATTAGAAATGGAATGCCATCATTTTTGTTTGCTTGTTTTAAAATAGTTCAAAAGAGTGGTCCCCAGATCCTTTTATAGGAAAGATTCTATATTCGTGCTTGGAAAATAAGGTTTCTTCCATTCAGACTGCTTTCCTGATGACCAGGTCTATAAGAATTAGCACCAAATTGCCTCTTGACATAAAAAGGGTATCTTACAAATCTTCTTGAATAACTGGCAGTTTTTCCAGGTACCTGCCAGATATTGAAGTTGTAGTATTTGGAGGTGCAATAAAAAATAGAGAAAGAAGCTGTAGGATTTTCTGTATTGAGGAGGGTTTTAAATCATTATATGTTAGGTTTAACAGTGTTGAGATACATGGAATGGCAGGTTATATGTAGAAGGGGCCAGGATTCTACTAACATGTTACATTGGACAATCAGCATGAAGATTAGGATCCCAGGATGGATGATTCTGGACACACAAGATTTTGAACTGTGCCTTCTAGATTCATCATATAAATTGATACCTGGAATCAGAGTTCAAGCATTAATTGTATAGGGAGGAATCTCCCTAATGAACAGAGTATGAAAACTCTGTAACTATTATGTGCTTCTCTGTGTTCTACCATCTTAGTAAGGGCAGACCCATTGTAGCTGTGGGAGGGAGGCAGGTTCATGGTGAAATCCATCATAATGGCAATCTATCAGTCCTTGTGGATTAGGAGAAAATCTATTCTCCACTTTGGAATTTTGGATGTATCTGGTCCATGCACATTTGTTCCAATGACTGGTGTGTGTAGGAATGGGTCTTATTATTAATCAGGCTACCAGAAGTCTGTATAATCATGTTCAGGGTCTTGAATGGTTATTAAAGGTCAGCCAGTAGTAATATGGCAATAAGGCAGAGCTGTAGTATTTGAGTTACCTGCTCATATACAGAAATAACTAAATGACAGATAATTCATTAAAAAAGATCCTCCCATCTCTTTATTTAATATCTTTTGGGGGCCATTCTTGGGTAAGTCTGAATTTCAGCAAGTTCTCAGCATCTTCTGGCTGCTGGGAAATCTACCTGATTTCCTCCAAAAACAAAAATCTGCTATAAAAAGCAACACATACACCAAGGGAACAGAATAGAGATTCCAGAAGTAAATCCATGCATTTATAGTCAACTGATTTCAACAGACACCAAGAAAATACAATGGGAAAAAGGACTGTCTCTTCAATAAACAATATTGGGAAAACTAGATATCCACAGGCAGGAAAATGAAAGTAGACCCTCATTTCTCATCATATACAAAAATCAACTTAAAATAGATTAAAGACTTAAACATAAGAACTGAAACCATGAAGCTACTAGAAGAAAATACAGGGGAAACAAGACTGGTCTGGGCTATAACCCCAAAAGCACAGAAAACAAAAGCAAAAGTAGACAAATGGGATTACGTCAAACTAAAAAGCTTCTGCACAGCAAAGGAAACAATCAAGAGAGTGAAGAGACAGCCTACAGAATGAAAGAAAGTATTTGTAAACCATACATCTGATAAGGGATTAATATGGAAATATATAAGGAACTCAACTCAATAAGAAGAAAACAACCCAATTTAAAAATGTGCAAAAGATCCCAACAAGTATTTCTCAAAAGAAGACATACAAACAGTCAATAAGTTTCTGAAAAAAACTGCTCAACATCACTAATCATCAGGGAAATGCAAATCTAAACCACAATGAGATATTATCTCACTCCTGTTAGAATGGCTATTATAAGAAAGACAAAGATAACAAGTGTTGGTGAGGATGTGGAGAAAAGGGAACTCTTGCACACTGTTGGTGGGAATGTAAATTAGTGCAGCCATTACAGAAAACAATATGGAGGTTCCTCAAAATATTAAAAATAGAACTACCATAAGATCCAGCAATCCCACTACTGGGTATACATCCAAAGGAAATGAATGAAATCAGTATGCTGAAGAGACAGCTGCACTCCCATGTTTATTGTAGCACTATTCACAATAACCAAAATATGGAATCAACCTAAGTGTCCATCAACAGATGAATGGATAATGAAAATGTGGTATATATACACATATATAGAATATGACTCCACCATAATAAAGAACAAAATCCTATCATTTTCAACAACATGGATGAACTGGAGGACATTATGGTAAGTGAACTAAGCCAGACACAGAAAGACAAACACTGCATGATCTCACTCATATGTGGAATCTGAAAAAGTTGGTCTCATGGAAGTGGAGAGCAAAATGGTGGTTATCAGAGGCCAGGGTACTTAGGGAGAGGGGGAATGGGGAGATGTTGGTCAAGGGACATATAATTACAGTTAGATAGGAAGAATAAGTTCAAGAGATGTACTGTAAAGCATGGTGATGATTAATGATGATATATTGGATTCTTGAAAAAAAAAGCAGAGGTAGTAGTATGTGAGGTAATGCATTTGTTAATTACCTAGATTTAACTATTCCTCAATGTATATATACTTCAATACATCATGTTGCACACAATAAATATATGATTTTAAAGTCTGCTTAATGGCAGATTTGGCAGCTGCTAAATGAATTCAAAGACATAAGTTACATCTTTGATCTTCAGTGCATCTTTCAGAGTTTGAAACTTCTGACACTCCCTGATATTCTGGTTTATAAGAAAAGGCAGTTGACCATTCAGGTGTCAGATAGAGAGTGGATGTAAAGTGCCATGCTGGAAGACTGAAGCCCTACTGGCCCAGCTTAGTCAAGCCACCTGTCTGCTCCATGCTCTATTTATATCCTGGAATAGTCATATTTGATAGACCTCTCCTAGGTAGTGTTTCCAACCTTTGGGAAAGTTAACATAACCTGGAACTATTTGCTTTGGGGACAAAAATGTTGCCACTGCATTGTTGGCAGCATGAATTTCAATCAAAACAATCAAGGTAAGACAAGATCAGGCAAAAATTGTATATAACTTAGGAACAGAAGCTCATTTTCCTCTCGTGTACCAGTCTGGGGTGAGTGTTTCAGGTTGGCTGTCAGCTCTGCTTCATTTGTGCTTTCAGAGCCTTGGGCTGACAATGGTTCTGCCAGCTTCAACATGTGGCTTCCAAAGCTGCCCTGGTCAGCTAGCAGGAAGGGTACAGAGAGGCCATGGAGAAGGCTGTTCACTATCCTAAGAGCCCCAGCCCAGAAGCAGTAAACATCACTTCTACTTTTTATTAGTGAAACCTCAGTCTCTTGAACCACAACTAACTACAGGAGGAGTGGGAAATTTAACTCCTGTCTAGGTAGACATGTGCCCAGCACACTCTATTACTAGGGAAAAAAGGATGAAAAAGTTTGGTAGGCAGATAGCCTAGCAGTTTCTATCATAGAACAAATACAGGTCAGAAGTCCAAATATTTATTGATGTCTTCCAGGTAAAATTCAGATCATTTAGCAGAGGATCTCAATCAGAGTCTGACCTATTAGAATCATCTGGGAAGTTCTTCCTAACCACGTATGCACGAATCCTACCAGATACAATGACAGACCCTATATTTTTCTTGAGAGTTTAAGTAAGGATGGATATGTGTATTAGGATGTGTATTTAGTCAATATTCCTCCGGGTATTGTGAACCAAACACATGACTTCAAGTTTTCAGTCTGTGAAGCCCAGATGAGCTGGTTTTAGAGAGACAACTTCATGACTCAAGCTTTCTAAGGAGCAGACCTAAGAGATGCGAGTCTAGTTCAAAGAATCCCAGAGAGTGACAACACTGAGGCCACATTAGAGGTGGTGTCAAACAAAGATCAATGAGGGAGGTGCCACAGCTTTCCAGATCACCTAGCAGTGGGGACCTGGAGGCAGTACCCAAGCCATGGAGGAGATCAGGTTGGTAGCATGCTGGGTCCACTTAACCAGGGCCATTGCATCAGAAAATACACTTAGGCATGGGAAACCACTCACTCCCTTAATTCACTGGTTCTTAACTCTGCCTGCAGGTAAGAATCCTCCAAAGAGCTCTCAAATTTGCCACTGCCCAAACCACATGCCAGAACAAATGAATCAGAATCTCAGCGAGAAGATGTAAGCTCAGGAATCTCCAGTTTATTAAATTTCCTCAGGTGTTTCTGAGGCACAATAAGGACTTACTGTTGCCTTAGCTTCTAACCTCAGGAGTAGAAACACATACCATTCTGCCTCCTTACTTGACCTCTCCAGCCTCCGTGGCCATCAGCAGAGCTATCTGCTGCTGTGTGCCTAAGTCTGTGTTCTCACCCAGGCCTGTGTTTCCCAGGTGCAGGCCATAAAAGACAGTGGCAGCAGCTCCATCCAAGTGGGTGATGGAAAGCCCAATCTCTTAGGAGGATTGTGATACCACCTGAGGAACCAGGCAAGGGTAGCCACCTGTCATGTTAGGGCCTAAAGGGGAATGAGTTCACCTGGAAGAGGCCAGGGCCTGAAGAGAAAGCCAAGCCAGCAGCAGCAGCAGAGGAAAGGACAGTCAGGAAGTGTTGATGATCCAAGAGACGCCTCAGAGGCGGACATCTATCTTAGGGGATACAGAGTCAGGAATTTAAATCTGGAAGATAAGAGCAATCAGTAAACCAAAT